>NC_000006.12:25211515-25514545 GCF_000001405.40 Homo sapiens | reverse complement strand
AAGGTCTCGCTCTGTCCCCCCAAGCTGGAGTGCTGCAGTGGCATAATCTCAGCTTACTGCAACCTCCGCCTCCCAGATTCAAGTGATTCTCCTGCCTCAGCCTACCGAGTAGCTGGGATTACAGGCGCCCACCACCATGCCTGGCTAATTTTTGTATTTTTAGTAGAGACAGGGTTTCACCATGTTGGCCAGGCTGGTCTCAAACTCCTGACTTCAAGTGATCCACCAGCCTCAGTCTCCCAAAGTGCTAGGATTACAGGCGTGAACCACCGCACCAGGCCTTGTGTGACGTTTTTATTTGACCATAAGCTGTATGGTGAATCCAAACCAGTCCACTCATTTTCCATCCATTTAAACCAGATATTGAAAGCCACGCAGCCTAAAGGCAGGTTTTGTTTGTCTTGCATGGTATCTGACCAAAATAATAATAGTAACAATAAATTAATAGAGCTTCCTACTTACACCCAGCTCACTTTACTAGTTTATGTTGCCTTCCTAGCCCTGTGGGCATTTGAGTTTGCATTCCTTGATTTAAGCCATAACTTATTAAAGTGGGGTTAAGAATTCCAGGTTAACCAGGTTGAACCAATGTAGCTCTAAATGTCAGAATTCAGACTTCCCTGGGAGATGTGGATGTCTCCTGGGTTGCTTGGGGTCCTCTATATTGTCCTAGCCACACTAAACAAATTATATGGTTATTGCAGAAGCAGTCCCAACACTACAGGAAGTAGTGATAGAAGCAGCTTCTGGGGTAATCTATGACCAAGTTCCACAATGCTTGGGGGATTGGAGCTCTCAAGGTGTGCCTGGGTGGTCTACACGACAGCCCCCACACACAGCCTGGGGTTTGTCTGTGTCTACTCAAACACTTAACATTGACTTCCAAAGCAACATCTGTGAGAGGTTCATCTACCAAAGGGCTACAGGAGACAGAATGAGGGTGTTGATGGTTTCAAGACTCAGATATCAACAAAGCATCATTATGCATTTGGTTGGTACCAAGAGACAACAAGCATATTATTGTCCTTATCATCCAAATATACCATGGCTTTCAAAGTTAATACATTTATGGTAAAATCAAAAGGTAATGTTGTATTAATCAGAATCAAATTAATAAAAGTTAAATGGCCTGGTAAGTGCTAAGGCAATTAAAACCTGGGCCAAAAAGTCTGAATACATTTAGACTCAAGTGGGTTTAGCTTGGTTTCTTCAATTTTCTTAACATCCTACATACAGGTAAGTGGAAATGACAACTAAAAACACTTCAGGCTCAGGAAACTTACTGTTTTAAAGAAAAACAAACACAGTATGCTTTAATAAAAAGATGTAATTACATCTTTCATTATTTCAATAATCTTGATTCAATTACTACGAAAATGATATATTATAGCTTCTTCCTAATACTGGAAAACTGCCAACTCTCCGAGCTGTCAAGCATCAATTCCAGGACTATATTCAAATTCTAATACACCCCAGTTAATACTTAAAAATAATAGGCAGAGTCATTAATGCAAACAGACCAGCCTGAATTGCGTGCATATTTATAAGGTCATCCCTTCTTGATTTATTGTACTTCTGTGTAACATTACTATTTGAAATCTTACTATTTCTTTTTCATAGCTGAACATGCTTAATCTGAGAATCTGTCTCCTGGCTTCAGGCACCCCCAGGAGAATCACATTCTGTTCTACTGGTTACAATATGGGTTCATATGTAATACTTCAGAACAAAACTCCCTGTCATCTTGGCCCTCTATGTTACTGTCCCATGACTCTGGGTGCAGCAGACTGAAAACCACTGTCTATAGTTGAAGGTGACACTGGAACCCACCAGCATGTAGGTTTTTCAATTGAACATAATGTATAATACTGGGTGAATAAGGTATTCCATAGGCTGGTCAAAGAACAAGCTCTACAAACACCAGGTCAGAATGTAAAAAGTAAAGAGATTATTTTTTAACATGTAAAACTTGTAAATAAATAAAACAAAAAATGATCCCAATTGTACCAGGTATTGGTAAAAATTTTTATCATCACAAGACTCATCTCCTAATCATTTCAAATTATTTTCCATATTACCAATTTGAAAGTAGAAAAAAAACAGAAGAATTGCTTTCTGAAAAAGCCATCTACTTTTCAATGGCAGGAACATAAAAAGCTTTTCATTGTACAGCATTATGAGTGCCACTCTATTCAAACTTGTGACTTGACAGAATTCACATTTATATAGCAAACTTTATCATCTGCAGATATGGTTTTAGGTATATTTTAACTATCATCTTTAAGTAACAGACTTCCAGAATTATAGATACAGTTTGAAGAACCTCACATAATGAGCAAAACATAAAATTTATGTACTTTTCATAAAAATACAAATTTTCCTAAAGTATGTGTTAAGAAAAAAACATCTTGGGGTGAATTTTAAGTATAATTATGTAATATTAGCTTCCCTAATCTGTTAAAACTGGGCCAATACTGGAAAATCAGAAACTCAAACAAGGCAGAGTGATGCAAAGTCAAATTAAATACGTAAAGCAAACAGCATAAACTCTGAGAAGTCTAAATTACATTCTAATTATACCCCTAATTTCAATAACCCAGCATAAGAGCAACAAAATATGGGGTTTATTAGCAAATGAGGGTAAGGAGAAGTGCTGAATTCATTAAACAATAATGAGATTCATTTTCTAGCCCACAGATTGAAAATTACATCCACAATGAAGAGGAAAGAGAACAGAATTTTCTCCTGCCCACCAGCTCAGAGCCCTGTCAAAGAAGTGGGGGCAACGGCAAGTGAGGAAGTGTCCAGTGTCTATCCTTCCTGGCCTCTTAGCTTTCACAGAAAAGTCAGCTTAAAGCTGTGATAGAATTTGCTCTTCCCTGGTATGAATTCAGGAGGGAAAATGATACTTTTTCCAAATGTGACATACTCCACATGATTAATATAAAAATCATCCTCATGACCTACAAAAGTAGCTATTACAAAACATGAGTAATGTGACTCTTCATAGTAGGAATACAAATTCATCTGAGTTTTAGGAACTGGAAAAGCTGAGTCTGGTGACCAAATAGGACTTTGAGAGGAAACGGACAAAATCTTAGAGAGCATCAGTAAAATATAAGGTGTAACACACCAGCTCTAAATCAAATGGATTCATGGTAGACTGCTTCTTATTTTGTCCATAAAATAACTTTTCTTTCTCCTAATCCATTTTCAAGGACAGCAAAATAAGATACTATTTGAAATTAAACTTCTTTACCCTGAACTAAATTTTGGTCAGGAGCAACGAAAGGGGATTAAAAATACAGAGTGCTACTAGACTTCAAGAAGCAATTAAAGATGGAAGAAAACTTCCTTGGTCCCCTATAATTCCACATAATTATTAGATGAAATTCAAATTAGCAATATGATATTTCTCAGCATTATATAAGGTCATAAAGTCAACTAGAATGTAAAAATTCATGCCTGAAGATTAGTTTATTAGCTAAAGTTAGGGAGTAGTAAGGCTAATTAAAAGATAGGCTCAGGAGTCAATTTATACTTCTTTTTATCTATTAGTGACAATCTTCCTTTAATTGACAGTGAGTTGAATAAAGTAAAAAAAGTTTTTAAATACATTCTACAACTCTACTAAAGTGTATTTATTCCATTTTTAAAAAGTAATGGAAAATGTACACGTTGATAAAACTATCTGAAAGTATTTCAGCATTAATCCAGTAGAAATAATCAGTAAGAATGGCAACAAACAGAAGATTTTAGTAAAAAGTTTAACATAATACTCACTGATTCTTCATCTTGAATCATCTGTACTAAGTTGTCCAATACAGGTGTCAGATTTCTAAAGAGATTTTAGAGATGTGGACAGTGGAATCAAATCAAAAGCTTTCAGGAGGCTGGTTATTTTCATCATTGTCATATAAAAAAATTCAAAACTCTTACTTGGATTTCATATTATTAAAATTTTTGCCTAACGCCAGGTGTTGTATTGATCTGTTTTTACTGAGCCACACTATTAAGGTAGATAGGTCAGATTCTAAACCTGGAAAGAATCAGAGTAAGTAGAACATCAAAACACATGTGTATAAATTAATTTTCAGCTGGAACACAATTAAGCAAAGGTGACATATAGTTGGATGACTTCCTTTACCTTCCTGAGGGGCCTGGGATTCTAATCTTTTATTTTCAAAGGCACTCTTTGCTCTCTTTTCATGTCCTATTATTTCACAGGGATAAACTCATTCTCTACAAAGACTTATCTAAATCTCTTATACAATCAGTGGCTAAACCAAGTCAGCAGGAAATGGGAATGAATAATGGCAGAAAGTTTCATCTCTCCCCACCACTCTGTGAGAGAAGATTCCAACAAACTGTTCACTGTGAGGTAAGTGGAGTTAAAGTTGTCTATGCAAATTTCACAGGTTCATACTAACATGATACTACAATCAGCAGAAATGAAGCTAATGAAATAAGCTTTTGAATAAATAAACAAGAGTACAATTTTATTATCAGCAAGAATGCAAAAAGTTGGTCTCAGACCCTTTTCAATGTACTGGTGATATTTTTATAACTGAGTTGTTTTACTGCATAGACTTTGCATAGTTGGCCACAGAGTCAACTTAGTAAGACTCTGGCACAGATCTATTCTACAAATATACCCCATTGTTAAATTTAAAAGCCCTATTAGTCAAAAAATAAAAAACAATTTTTTTATTAAGCTATTGTTTGGATTTGGGTAGAAGATTATTTTCCCCTTATTAACTTGCTTCAAAAAATATTTCAGTTTCATTTCTTTTCAATATCTGACTTACCATTGTCAGAGATGTCTAAGCTGGTGATGTTGTGTATTTCAGCAATGCAACCTTCTAATACTTGAGCACCTCCTGATCTCAGCTAGAGAAACACAAACCAAACACAAAGTAAAGTCTTCACTCTACTGGAGATGTAATCAAAAAATTAAAAATAGGAGAGACAGTCAGTCTTAAAATAAACTTAGTACCAAAGAAAAAGTAAAAGCTTATCAACTCCAAAGAAGCTATTATCAGTGGGTAAAGAGCCTATCACTAGCCATTGCTGCTGTTTCCTATGCCATGTGATCCCACATTAAATCCTAAAAACATTAGAAAAAAACAAAAGAGAAACAAGATGACCACCACCCACGCCACTATAGTAGCAAAGCAGTGCATTATCAACCCAGAAGAATTTCTTCATTTCTGACTTTTGGAAATTTAATAAATTCATTTTATACATGAGAAAGTTACTGTTTTATTTGACTGTTACCGATTCCAAGGTGTAAACTCTCCACCCAACCAAAGGAGACAATGAAGACTTACTTTGATTGTCAAACATTTTAGGAAGGACCCATCCCTACCTGTTCTAAGACATGAGTGTGAGTTCTCACTCATAAGGCAGATATTAGCTAACTAAAGATGACTGCAAAATGATTTGTACAAATGCTTCGAGCCATGGATGGAAAAATGTTAAATTAATATAAAATATTATTATCATGATTGTTTTAGAGCAAAACTAAGTGCAAATGATTATTCTCACCTCATTTGCAATTTTATTTAAAAGAGAAAGACAACCTGAAAAACCCAATACAGTACTTTTCATCTTTTTCTATGAAACCAAAGCATACTTTATAGCAGTCATAATATCTCTGTGTTTTTCATTCAGCAAATATTTGTTGAGTTCCTACTCTGTGTAAGGCATTGTGAAGGATGCAAAGTTTCCTAAGCTGTGGCCCTTTTGCTCTGTAAACTTACTATCTAATGAGGAAAAACAAACTATCATTTTTTGGAAACCTACTATAAACCAAGGAACATGGCAAGTCCTTTACTCATGTAGGAAAATTAAAATTTATAAAAAGTTTAACAACAAATTTACAGTACAAGGTGCTATTTTCCACATGTCTAGGTTTTGATGTAAGAATTAGAAGAATCCTCATTTCCCTATTTTGGATGCGATATCAGGAGAATTTCAGTTGGGATATTTACATTCAGCCATTCCTACTTTTTTGAGACAGCGTCTCACTGTGTTGCTCAGGCTTGTCTTGAACTCCTGGGTTCAAACGATCCTCCCACCTCAGCCTCCCAAGTATCTGGAATTACAGGCATGTGCCACCGCATCTCACCATTTCTACTTTTTAAGGTGACAGATTGCTCTAAGGTGAGCTCTGAAGTAGAGTATTACACAGAGGCAGACCTCTCCAAGGGACTGGTCTACATACTTCAGGGAAACCAAAACCAACTTCACAGCTGAAGGGCTTCTAACCTGTGTGTGAAGCTATTGTCAAGACTGACTGCCAGGCCCATTTCACTACACCTGCTTGTTTTCTCAGGCGCTCTCCAGCTTACCTAAATGCCCCATCGAGCCTATCTCATCATGACACCTGTACATCTTCCCCAGCACCTTGCTACTCAAAATTTGAGATGAATAAGTACAGAAATTGAGTGTAAAAATTTTTAGAAACCTTAGTAGTAAAAATTTTAGGTCTGTTGTATCTAATCATAAAAATTGGGGGCTTGCATATCTATGTCTTTCTAAATATTTCTTGTATTTTATTCGTATTATATTTTATAAATGTATTGGTTTATGATAGATTGGAAGTTTAAAAAAACATAAAAATAGTTTATTTACTACAGATATTTACTACTTGAAGTAAATGTGTACATACACTATGTCAAAGCTAAAGCAAGAACTCATTTAAGCAAACACTTCTCAAAAAACAATTTGATTTTTAGAGCAAGAAAAAAGTATGCTTTTGAGAAGATAAACGTAAATGCGTTAAGTCTTCACAATTTCATATTTGCTGATAGTGATTTACTTGTTGAGAAATAAAATTTCTGTTAGAAAATTTCTATGTTCTATCATTGTAAAGTACAGTAAAAATATTCCATTTATAGAAATAGAAAATATAGGTAACATTTAAATGTTTAACTTTGTTTATACATACTCCTTACTGATATTTGTAGTATACACACATAAAACATACTTTCCAATGCTTAAAAAACAATCAAATGTATCAATATATTCTAATTGATTCATAAAGTACTTACACAATGGCCAAGCTAATGAAAGCCCAAGGAGAAAAAACAGAAACCATTATCAGCAGTATGCAGAACAAGAATAAAGAAGAAGCTAAAGTTTCTATCAATACAAAATGTAAAAAAGCAAAGAGTCAGAAAAAATACTTCTAACTAAAATTTTCTCCCAAAACAAAAATTCAGATAAGAAAATAACTAAGCTTTAGTTACCAAGAACATTCAAGTCACAGATTATTAAATGTCTAAAATTCCCCAAAAGCTAAAGCTTTCCCAAAACAGTAAAAGCTTTTCCATTACTGTAAATGAAAATCCTTTTAAATGAATTTGCATAATTAGAGGCTGTCTGCATGTGTGCATGTAAAACTGGTTTTTAAATTACCCTTATTTGGATCCCACACACCAGCATTATTTACAAGAAAGCAAGATCAAAGAGAAGTAAATGTGACTAAAATGTTGAACACTTTTTAAACGGTTAAAAATAAAATCGTCTTTCTTTCAAGAGAGTAGTATCCTCTCATTCAAGGAAGGTGGAACGTTTCTGATCTTACTCATAATTCTAAGGAAAAAGTTATATCAAACACTCAAATATCCATAATGGGGATAAGGACAGCAAGGAAAATTAAAATCAAGAAGGAACTTTTAATAATTTACTTTCCTTCCTTAATATCATTTGTCATTTAAAAAGATAAGGCAAAAATATAAAATGACCCCCAAATTATCTGCTATTCTTTCAGAGGGGTTCCAATAGTAATTTTTTTTAAATTAATTTTTATCCTGGGAAATTTTCATACATAAAACTGAATGGTATAGGTTTCTCCAAGGACAGAAAACATGATTAGACAACATCCAGTTCATAATGTCTACTTTCTAGCAGGATTTGATGCCAAATAACAATCTAGTACCTAAGAAGGATGTATATAAACACAGCTGTTTTCTTTCTTTTTTGTTTGTTTGTTTGTTTGAGACGGAGTCACTGTCTCCCAGGCTGGAGTGCAATGGCACGATCTCGACTCACTGCAACCCCTACCTCCCAGGTTCAAGCGATTCTCCTGCCTCAGCCTCCCAAGTAGCTGGGATTACAGGCGTGCACTACCATGCCTAGCTAATTTTTGTAGTTTTAGTAGAGACGGGTTTCACCATGTTAGCCAGACTGGTCCTGAACTCCTGACCTCAAGCGATCTGCCTGCCTTGGCCTCCCAAAGTGCTGGGATGACAGGCGTGAGCCATCATGCCCAGGCAAATACAGTCATTTTCAAGGTGCAAACAGTTGCAGATATTCATTGCTTTCATACATGCATCCTGTCACGTGGAACATTTGCAATTCTGCATTCCGTACCTGGCCTGACAGGGAAGTGATAGGTAAGGGGCACTACAATGATGCTTGCCTCAAGGTTGGTTGAATGACTATCAAATGGACTGAAACTGTCTCAAAAGTTTGTATTCAATTGCTGCAAAACTCATTACAAATGTCAGTATTTGGTGCTCTTTTTTCTACTCATCATGAATTGCAATAAACTGTAGGATCATCTTCAGAAAAGCTTCCACTTAAAGAAACTAACTCCCACACCCAGGCCTACAACTAAGCCACAGCTATAATTAATTGCCCTTTGCATCTTCTCTGAAGTATTAGAGACTTTTGTCTATTTGGAAGGAGACTAAGTTTGAAGAATTTAGTCCCAGCATTTACCAATTCTTCTCTTAATGTATAACTATGAAGTTATAAGATTTTTAAACATACAAGAATGCACATGGCCAGGCATAGTAGCTCATACCTGTAATCCCAGCACTTTGAGAGGCCGAGGTAGGTGGATTACTTGAGGTCAGGAGTTCAAGACCAGCCTGGCCAACATGGTAAAACCCCATCTCTACTAATAATATAAAAATTAGCCAGACACAGGGGCATATGCCTGTAATCCCAGCTACTCAGGAGGCTGAGGCAGGAGAATAGCTTGAATCCCGGAGGTGCAGGTTGCAGTGAGCCAAGATTGCACAACTGCACTCCAGCCTTGGTGACAGAGCAAAACTTCGTCTCAATTAAAAAAAAGAGAGAATGAAAGATCCACTGCCTCTCTTCAGATACTTGGGTACATGGGAATACTACTCATGAATGCCAGTATCACTACTGCCATAGAAAATGGTTTTGAAGCTCTTTAGAACTAACCTACAGGGCAATGGAACACACACATTTCTCTGAACATCTGTACTGACACTAAATCTTTACCCTTTGAGAATGAATAAGGATCAGCCACAGGCCATTCTGAAGCTAATCTGGCCATGAAGTATAATACTGTCTTGCATCAAAAAATCAGGTTTCAAGAAGAATTTGTCTCACCATAAACTGATGAGAGTAATCCTTCTTGAAAGATGTAAAATAGCTTTGAAGGCAATTCCCAAAAATGTTTTGGTAAAGACTGAATATTTATAAAGCTTCTAAATAAAAATGTTTAGAAGGGCAATACTGACCTATGATGTCAATTCTGACATTCCAAATAAAGCTCCTCCATCTCAAACCTTTTACTCCCCAGATGATGGCTCACATATGCTGGGCTGGAGTAGTGACGTTGTACCAGACGCTGGCCCTGAAAACTATTATTTCCATTCAATAGATGAGCAACAAAGGCTGAAAAGAAGGTGAGTCACCTAATAAGCTAAGTAACTGAGCCAGGTTTCAAAGGGGGCCTTTTGATTCCAAAGTGCTCACGCTTGGCTCACTCTTTTGCCTCCCATAACTACTTTGAGTCATTTTCATACACAAAAGAGACTCCTTTTCAGTACTAAAAGACCAAGGGAAAGAAAGAGAGGTGATGATATAATTAATGTAAAATGCCTTAAGGAACACCGAAGTTTTTTCCTGTAAGTATAGAAGTTATCTGAAAACGTAAGGTTAATTTCAGTGCTTATTACCTTAGCTATCACAGATCCAAAAGAATATAGACCAACATTTTAGATTTAATTTTCCAAATAACAATGATGTTTGTATTGTAAGAAAGCAACTCCATAAGTTCTAAATACCCACAGGAAACTTTTTTTTTAATAGCATGAAGTGTAAGTCTCCTCTCTCATTCAAATTAATGAGTGTGACATGTCTATTTCAGGGGAATAAAGAATACCCTGAGAACCTACAAGCCAACTTATTAGGAAAGGTGAGAATGAACAATAAAGGAACCAGCATATGGCAAAATCAAAAATAATTTGCTTAAGTTATTCTAAGCTCCCTGTCCAAACACTTTTACTTCCTACTTTAAGACTATTTTCCCCTTTCCTCCCAATAATCTCAACTACCATCTTTTACCATCATTTATCCTCTATAACACTCATACTAATGTGATTTTAAAATCAATCACTGGATTTATTCCCCCTACCAGGAGAAGAACTAAATCTGGATCAAAAATTCTATATAGTAGATGTTTTATATTAAAATTAATCACCTATTTATAAATATAAGATGACATCAAGGTATCTCACAATAGCTTCTGTTTCCCTGGCTGAGGTGGACTTGTATTAGAGGTACCCACAGGATGCATTGAGCTCTTACGGAGCCCACATCAGAAACTGCAGGACAACCCCTCCTACCACCACCCCCGCCAACCCACGGCCCCAAGCACAATGATCAACACCTGCCAGCCAAATGCGCTGGACCTTGACTCATCCTAGGTCTGCCAGCTCCTCATCCTGAGTAAGTCATCCTCAGAAAAATAACCTCCCAAGATGGCAATGGTATCAAGGAGAAATTTCATTTCTCACCACCTTTTGGATTTTAAGACTAGATTTATCTGATCATCGGAGAAAGTCAAGGGCTGAAGCTGCTACGATTTCAACTGGTATGCTAAGAGTGGAGAGGGTTTATAGCTAAATAGAGAACAGGCAGAAAGAAAATATACATATTCATGATTTTAAACTTCCGTGATAGTAAGAGCTTCTTTCTAAGAGGATTACATAAACTCTACAATATCAAACACAGATGATTAAAGACTCAAACAGTTAACACTCAAAGTGTCAAGCATTCCAGCATGAATTATATTGGAAATCCAAACACTTTTGGGGGGAGATTTATTATATTATGAAGAGAAGCAAACTGAAACCTACTTAAATGTGGACATCTAGGCCTAAGAAACAAAATGTGATAAAACACTATAACATAGTTTAGAAAAACAATTTTGTGTTTTACCAACTTTCATGCATCAACATAACATGTGACTTTATAAATGTGGTCACCAGTACTGTGATTCAGGTTATAAGTGGGGAGAACATGGTACTACAATACTTTCAAGACTTCCCCATGTCGGCAGTATCAATTTATCATATAATGCATAAGTGAAAGGCCAAAATGAAGTTGGAATTATCACAATAATACTGTTCAAGCTCATCATCGGAGATTAACCATTTGACCTGAATTCCTGCCTTCGTTAAAAAGATTATAAAGTCTACTAGCAATTAAGTTGAACTTTACGAAACTGCCAATAGTCTGCAATTTTTGACATGCAAAATATCAGTTTTATAGGGTTCATCTACTATACCTATCTGAAAGTTATTCCCAATAGATCATAAAGGAGTTTAAAGAACAAGGTATATAGCAATCTTTGGCAACATGGCCCCTATCAATTTATTTGAGAAGAAAATGCCTAACCATACTTAGTAGTCTAATAATTATCACAGTCAATATTACTATTAGCAAAAGAGAATGAGGACAGAGTATTTTCATCATGGATCTGCCATTGGTGAGTTATATTATTTCCACTTCTTTCAACCTCAGTTTACCTATAATTAAGGAACCAGATGATCACTTATGCCCATCCCAGCTTTATCACAGAACTGAATAAAAGATGTTAGACTGCTGGCAGTCACGATATTTAATCAGGATTGTAAAACCACATTAGAAGTTATTGCTAATTTAGTAGTTTGATCTGATAGAGCAGTAAAGTTTACACCAACTTACTTTTTTTTTTTTTTTGAGATAGAGTCTAGCTGTCGCCCGGGCTGGAGTGCATTGGTACAATCTCGGCTCACTGCAACCTCCGCCTCCCAGGTTCAAGCAATTCTCTGCCTCAGCCTCCCAAGTAGCTGGGATTACAGGCACCCGCCACCACACCCAGCTAATTTTTGTATTTTTAGTAGAGACAGGGTCACCATCTTGGCCAGGCTGGTCTTGAACTCCTGACCTCGTAATCCACCCGCCTAGGCCTCCCAAAGTGCTGGGATTACAGGCATTGACCGCGCCCAGCCTGGTGTTTTTTTTTTGTTTTTTTTTTGTTTGTTTGCTTTTTTGACAGAATAACCTATCCCACCCCTTTCATCTCTCACTCCTCCCCCAATTAAAAATAAAATTACTATTGGCATGCCCCTCAGTAAAGTGCTGGTAAACAAATAATTAATTAATATTACCAGATTTGGTTTCTACTTTATAGTCTGTTTTTATAAATGAAAGATCATTAATCTGCATATGAAAATTCCACAACGCAAGGTTAGTTTTTTAGAGTTCTATTGTTTGGGTTTTTTTTTTTTTTTTTTTTACAATATGTCTTTTTGTATTGTTTTTTGCTTTTCTTTTTTCAAAACAACAAGACTGTTAAATCACATAATTGGTGTTCACTCCAGCTTGAAACTAATGAAAAATACTACACTAACAATTTATATGGTACAAATTCAGACTTGTCCATTTCTAGAATTTTCATAGAGGCAAACCATTAATCTTATTCAATATTTAGTACTGGCTTGGTGCCTGGCATTTTGCTAGGAGATAGGGGAAATACAAAATATAGTATGACATAAATACTGCCCTCCAGAAAGTTACATCCAAGCATACAGGAGTTAATTTAATATCTGTGCAAGGTACTATTGGCGATTTGGTGTCCAAGTGCATGCTATTATCATTAAGTGCTAGACAATTAGAAAAGATCAAGATCACAAAGGGCTGAAGCAGGCAGGGAAGAAACTTGGCAGACAGATAGAAAAACAGCAAGAGCAAACAACTTTTCTGCGTACCAGATACCCTAAGAAGCACTTTTCAAAAAGAGCTCCTTTAAACTTCCTAACAATCCATTGGGAGAGTTACTATTATCTCCATTTTGCAGGCACAGAAATTGAGATTTAGTGATATTAACCAATTCATCCAGGATTGCATAGCCTAGGAAGCTGATGCACGCATGCAGGAGACTGCATGTTGAGTTAATTCCTCAAAGAGAGGGAGGGTCTTGGGGAGGGGAAGGAAGATGGACATGGTAGGAGTGCTGGGGAAGAGAGAACAGTGAGTATAAAGGCCCGGGAATAGGAATGAGGAGACTTCCATCTCCATTCCTGGGAAGAAGGGATAAAGCTTGACATGTTAAGTCAGGCTCTGAACAGGCCATATAGTTTGTATCTGGGTATTTTCTTACTAGTCACACAAAGTAAAAGTTTCAAGATAGCAAAAGTCTAGGTGCCCTGTAAAACATAGACAGTTTAGGCTGGGCGCAGTGGCTCACGTCTGTAATTCCAACACTTTGGGAGGCTGAGGCGGGTGGATCATGAGGTCAGGAGATCCAGACCATCCTGGCTAACACAGTGAAACCCCGTCTCTACTAAAAATACAAAAAAAAAATAGCCGGGCGTGGTGGCGGGCGCCTGTAGTCCCAGCTGCTTGGGAGGCTGAGGCAGGAGAATGGCGTGAACCCAGGAGGCAGAGTGGCCAAAATCGTGCCACTGTACTCCAGCCTGGGCGACAAAACAAAACTCCATCTCAAAAAAAGAAGAAAAAAAAATATATAAATATATAGACACTTTAGTCTCAGTTCTTATGAGCTCTTTGATAGGAAGTATTTGAAATTGCTATACTTTCTAGAGGTATGTTAATTTTCTTGTTTTAAATCAAGATATTAAAAAGTAAAATTAATAAGACAGCCATTCTCTTTCACGCTCTACAAAATCCAAGTTAGGTTATACACATTTGTCCCTTGCAACAAATGCTGCATGTTTCATTTTCATGACGGCAAAGCAAGTCTATGGTTTTATACCTCAAGGCTTCATCATAAAATACTCAGCCAGCAGGCACCAAGAATGGAACAACAACAAAACCCAAGTCATTAAAAACACACTTGAAAGCTTTCTAAATGATGTTCTGTGGCTGTCTGTAGATGAAACTTGCAAAATACAGAACATTAGAAACTTGTATAATTTATTTTTCTGCTTCATTTACACCCTGTGGAATCACAGTATCAAATTTTATCCAGGAAAAAGGCAAAGCGGTTGAGGCTATTATCTATTCCAGTATACAATCTAAGGGTGTTCTTACCTCACAGTTGCTGAGATCCAGAGAAACCCCTTTCAAGTTATGATTACAAGCCAGGCCCAATAACAGTGCTCTGAGGGGAGGAAACACACATATTAGATACACATTCCACACACTGCCCAAAAGAAAAAATGCAAGCACACTGAATAAAGCCTAGAGAAAGAAGGCTGCCTTTTCTGAATCACAGGTCAAGCACCAAGCACCCTCTTACTTTTTAAAATGCCAACAGCATTTCTGCCTCACAACTACAGTGAAAAACTGACTCTGCAGCATTCTTTTTGCCTGACAGGCAGTGAGCCCATCATAAATGTAAAACCTGCAGGATTGCTATTCCTATGCAAATAAACCAACAGCACACCTAATTGCATACTGAAATTAAATTGTGCTCATCACAGATAAATTCCCACTGCATCTGCTTGAGAAGAGATTTAATAACGTTTAGAATATTATTAAGCAATTGTTATTAGAGTCGCAAAGTAAAGCTAGTTTTCCCTAAGGAATATGTAAGTGAGGAAGTCAGGCTCTGTAGTATAACAGGATGTCAAATTATATCTAGATGAGTTTATTAAACGACCTACAGTAGTGGGTGGGCAAGGGTATAAAACAAGGCATATGTCTTGAATTGGAGTCCAGGATCCTGCCTGTCCAACTACCTGCTGAGCTGAGACAAATCATATCACTGCTCTGAAAAGGAATTTTCTCATCTGCAAATTGAGGAGATTAGACTAATCACTTGGATCCACTTTGACAAGTCAGTCCTATAAAATCCAACACCATCAAGCAAGCTTGAAACAGAAAATTCACACATGCACACACAACCACTAAATTATACTAAGTGGACAGAAGACCCTAAATCAGACTTTGTGAAAAACATAGAGATGAACATAAGATGGTTCCTGCTCTCAAGCAAGGAAAACAGATATGTGTGCCAATAACTCCAACACAAGGCTGCCAGTGGTAAGTACTAGAAGAGTGGAAACCAGGTATTTATTAACTGGGGGCGATTACCTGTTTTCCATGTTCCCAGGAAAAGGACCTCCACTCAGCATACCCCAAAAATACCCTAGGGTAAGGGTGAGGTGGGAAGGTAGGGAATTATTTTATGCCCAAGTCTCTGAGACTTTCTTTTCTAGTGATTCTCTGGCTTTATCTACTAAGAGAGAACTCCAGCAGTGGCATGGAACACATAGGGGCTCGGCTGCCTCCAGCTATGAAAACCCCCCTCCTCCCACTCCCTGACCTTGTTAGGAGGCTGGAGGTGAGTGCCTTCCTTTTCACTTTTTAAATTCAGTTCACTAATCCCTTATTCTAAAACAGTGTCCTTTGAGAAAGACTGGGTATATCTCATCTGTGTACTTGTTCAATTGCTTATTAAATTGCTTCTCTTTTCCTAAAAATTACTATGCCCCCTTTCTTTCATGGGCGCAGTATTGAGTCAGTGAAAGCGCTGGAGGCTGAAAACCAAAAGGCCAGTTCTCACATCCCAGCCCAGCGAGTAATGGGTGAATGACCTTAAGAACATCACTTTTCGTGTGTGTCTCAAGTTCTTGTCAGTAAAATGAGAGAGTTAGGATATTACCAAAGAGGTCCCTTTTATTTCCAACATATGCTGAGTTTCTAGGACTTAGACACATATTTCAACATTGCATTTTTATGATGCTTATATGGAAGGAAAATACTTCCTACTTTTCTCACATGTGAATTAAGGCCAAGAAAACAAATGATATGCTTTAAGGCATTTAACTATAGAAGCCCAATGATTAGGAGGCAACAACTCATGAGACTAGTAAAAATAAATAACCCATAGAAACTGTCCCTAGTAAAATAAAAGAACAAATACAATAAAGCATACTGGGCACTGGGGAAAAATTCTATAGCAAAATATGTTGTTTATTTTAACCTAATGATGGCAAAATTGCCTTAACAACCATCTTCTAGATCCTCAATCACTATTGCAAAATTGCTTAGAGAACAATTTGTATTTAATTCTTCCAGCTCCAGATCGGTGGCACTAGTTATAATTTCAGGGTAGCACATTCAACAGGTTTATGAAAAATACTCAGCCAGAAAGATGGGGTCACAGAGAAGGGGTACCACATGACAGGGAGAAAGGGGATGTCCAGGAAGAAAGGCTTGGGGGAGGGAAAATGAAAGACCAAGAATGAGCAGTAACCAGGAACTCACACTGCACTCTGAGTGATGCTGGAGCAAAGAGCATCCTTGGGACACATATGAACCAGACTATTCTAGCAATTTTAGAAAACACCAAGGAACAGCATCACCATGTTCTCTAAACCCCCTTGAAATACATTAACATGGACCAAAAAAGGCCTCAAAGGAAAATCGCAACAATGAAGTAAGCGGTCATATTCTCTGTCTTGCTTCCCCCTTCCACCTCCAGCATAACACTCTACTTCCCCAATTCGCTTGTAAAAGAATCTCAAATTAAGTGGGAAACTTGTGGGGAAAAATATTGTTATGTCCAAACTTAAAGCGCTGTCTCAAAAGAAATTGTGTTGCTTTCGTTTATTCTCTCATGGCTACTAATCCCAAACCCTTAGAGAAACAAGGGTTTCTGCAGTTGAAGGTGGAATGAGGTAGGGAACACTGCTGAGCCCATGACAGCTGGCTGAGAGCAGCGGACACTGCTAGGCACTTCCCAGAACCCCCTCTGGGTTCTTCCTCTTTACTGGAAGAGCCTCCCAGTGCAGCTTCTCCCTTTTGTCTGATCCTGCTTTCTCCCCCTTCCCTTTTCACCGGTGGTAATCCCAAGAGAATGTCCTTATAAATATCCTACTTGCGAATCTCCATCTCAAAGTCAGATGCTCAGGAAACCCAATCTTCAACAGTGATTTGGGGCAAATTACTTAGCTTCTCTGAGCCTCAATATCCTCAGCTGTAAAATGGGGATAATGATACTAACTTCTCATCACTGTCATCCACATTAAAGGTGACAGGCCATATGTAAGCACCCAGCGCAGTGTCTAGTTTAGGGTAGTACTGTGCAAATTCCTTTTCATCCTCACCCTCTCACACATAAACCTGAGAACTTCAGTTTTGTGTTATCTTTTCAAATAATTATATCACATTAAATGTATACATGGAATTTTATTTACACAATCTTCAGCCATGAAGGCTTTCTCCCCATATTAAAATTTTTGCTGATTAAAACACAGAGCTGAAGAGACTACTGATTTAACACTATCAAACATTCACACCAATAACATCAGGTCCAAGATTTAACAATTACAAAATATCTTTGAAGTACAACATTTACAGGTATATATGCAACAAAGTACAGTAAGTCCAGCCTTGTTGCAAACTGGAATATTCCGCAAAATCAGTCACATTAACCAACAAAATGTTACTCTATATTATACAAAAGTAAACAACATTGAAACAATTAAAAATAGAAAACTATTTTGAATATTCTAATTTCCTGCTGATATATTACCAGGACAAGGACCTTCTCTGGTTTTGCTTCCTATCCTGTCATCCGGTGTCTAGCACACTGTAGATGCTCAGTAAGTATTACTTGAATGAATACATAAATGAGAATGATTATAATGGAACTTTAGAATACAATTCTGATAGCTTTCTTAATATCCATACAAACGGCCAAATCATGAGGTGTTTATTATTTGTGGCTGTTATATTTAGGGATCTCTAATATATTAACTCAACATTTTTTAAGCCTGCAATAATATAACATCAGACTTTTTTTTCAGCACTTGACTGGATCTACTGGTTTTTTTTTTTTTTTTTTGAGATGGAGTCTCACTCTGTTGCCAGGCTGGCAGTGGTGCAATCTCAGCTCACTGCAACCTCCGCCTCCCGGGTTCAAGCGATTCTCCCACCTCAGCCTCCTGAGTAGCTGGGACTACAGGCATGCACCACCATGCCTGGTTAATTTTTGTATTTTTAGTAGAGTCGGGGTTTCACCATGTTGGCCAAGCTGGTCTGAAACTCCTGACCTCAAGTGATCTGCCCACCTCAGCCTCCCAGAGTGCTGAGATTACAGGCGTGAGCCACCGCACCCAGCCTGGATCTACTTTTTTAAAGGCATCCATTGTTTTGGTCATCTGGTACTATATGAAATCAAGAACTTCATACCTCTCAAAACAGAAATAAAAAAGGAAAAGAAAATTTATAAATTAAATGAAGCTTAATTTTCTAGTAAGATGAATAGCAGACATTAATTTTAACATTTCATACACATTACAAGGGAAAAATTAAATGCTGATTTACAGTCAGCTGGGAAGGGAGAAATCCATGCATACATTTGAGCATATCTGACAACTTTCATAATCGTAACTACTTGAAAATACCTTCTTTAGACTCAAAGAGAATTTGACCCTACAGTCAAATTCACTGAACTTGTACACTAAACTTTTGACTCTTTCTGGCAATAGTCAACAGAAATCTCAAGGATAATAAATTATTCTCAAACCTCAATTTAGCTAACAATTTTAACTTCACCACTATACCTACACTAGGGATATTAACCCATAAGTTGGCTGCCAAATAAAAGTGCCAAATAGCCCATGCTAACCTCAGTAATTCAGAAACCAAAGTAGCTAAAAATTCATTCTGTTGCATACATACAATGTGTTTAGAGTTTATTACTATTAGTAGAAAGATTTAGAGTAAATGCTGATGAAAACACACACACACACACACACACACACACACACACACACGAACAAACGAATATGCCTGAAATGGAATGAACAGAGGTTAATATAAAAGCAATAGTAAGTACCTGGGAGTACAACTTTTGTAGATCAGTGACTCCTGCCAAGGTCATAAACCAAAAGATGTTTTTTCTTAGAAGATGCAATAATATCAATAGTGCACAATGTACTTTTTAAAATTTTAATTTATTTTTCTGCCCCAGAGTAAAAAGGCATTCTCATCTGTGGTTTTTGTCTTTGGATTATATATCTTTCTCCCTTCCCTCAAGCACATTCGTAAAAATAAGTTGAACTTTAAAAGCTCTGGAGAAAGTGAATTAACCACTCACTTTAAGGGCTCAGGAGACAGTTTTGTGCCTGAAAGGTTGATGTGCATCAAAGCCAGAGAACTACTAAAAAATTGCTTGAAAGATGGAGGTACTTCTTTTCCTTTCCTGAAAAAAACACAAGAGTTACACAAGCGGTTACACCTTCATCAAACATATTCATTGATTATTCAGACACTGTGAAATCTACAAATCAGTCATATTTTCTGCAGAAATTTAAAAGTAAATGGAAACAAATAAATGTCCAAAACCTAAAGCCATAAATCCAATATCATTAAAGGAACCACATAAGTGAGGTAAAGAAATATTTAGTCCATAAAACAATTCATTGCTATTCTTCATAGCCAATGAATTCATTGAGTTTTACCTCTTGATCAGGAAACTCCAGGTTTGGAATTTTTAAAAATAGGAGGTCAGAGAAGATGTATATTTCTCACCAATTTAAAGGCTTTCCCACTGGGTGGCACAAAATGTTAGAGATCAATATCTGCATTTGGCAATGTTTTTAGATGTAGCAGGTTTCACATGCAACAAGACTGTGATCTGATGTTGAGCTAAAACAGCACAGAAAGTCCAAATGGCACGAAGCCTGCATTACAAATAGCCTATTCAGCTAGTATGTCCATACCAAAAACCTAATCATTTCAGGCCAACTATTAGAACAGTGAAAGACAAAACTACAAAATAAAATGGCTATAACCTCTGAATACATCCCCTTGCTATTACAGAGAAAAGTATGTGGATCAAATCATACAGCTCAATAATAAGGTAGCATCAACACTATATGATAAGGGTTTAAGAAAAACAGGATTCAGGAGTCCAAGATGGAATCTGAACACTGTGCTTGTTCTGTTCTATCTGATAGAAATGATGGAAGGATTGAATAAGTCAGTATATGTAAAGCACTTAGGCTGATGCAGAGTAAGCACTCACTTAACGATAGTTATTCATATTCTGTGGAGGGACTCATGGAATCTCAGGGAAGAGGGCATCCTAGTGGTTTAGCTCAACCACATAATATTCAATAATATTTAATGTTCCCCTTCATTGTGCACATGTACCCTAAAACTTAAAGTATAATAATAATAAATAAATAAATAAAAACTAACTTTAAATAATAATAATAATAATAATATTTAATGTATAGAGATCTGGGAAAATCTGTCAATATTTGACAGGTTTTTTTTTAAAGTTTTAAAACAGGACAATTGAAGACTATTTGAGAAGAAAAATCTAAACAACCAAAATATCTGAGAAGATGAAAAATAAAACTAAGAGGAAAGAGAATTCTGGTAGACTATGTGATATAAGAAATCTCAAACAACTCTGTTTCCATATAGTGGAACAATGTAAGTTGTATATTCTTGTTCACTTTCTGCTGAGAAAATACTGTTAACTTACTCTAAATATATTTCTTCTCCTGCTATTCTGTCTTAGTTTTGAGCATTCCAGTGTTTCCAAATATTCACTGCCCCTTTTTGAAGAAGGATGATGCTTCATCCCTCTACTGACAGCAGGCTTGGCCATGTGACTCTCTTTGGCCAGTGAGACGTGAGCAGAAATGATGTGTATGACTTCCAGAGAGAAGCCTTGGGAGCCAGTATGTGCACCGCCATGATCTCTTTTTCTCTGCTATATGACTGTGAATGTTCTAGATAGGAGGCTGCTCTGCCTCCTGGAGTGAAGGTTATATGCCAGCCCACAATGGACATGTCACAAAATCACTGTTGCTGAAAGCCATCGACATTGGAGGAAAGCGGTCACTGTTACTGTGGAACAATCTAACTTATCCTGATGGATACACTAATGAAATTATCTGTGAATAAAAGAATGAATAGTCTGGCTGACAATCCACACCTCAACGTAAATGCAGTAATTTCAACAAAATTACTAAGGGCTTTCTACAACTATATCTAGGTAACGTATTAGGTATTAAACAGTTTAATAACAACCTTTCATGTGGAAGACAAGACAATTTGTTAGCGCAATTCTGTTCTATAAGCTTAACAGCTCTACTGAAGACCAGTCATCACAGAATTCACAGTATTTTGAACTCAAAAGTGCTGATTATACAAAAACCTTTATAGTCTGTGCTTTCATCTTGTAACCTAGTTCCCCAGTCAATTACTCCTCCACCAAAGCATGGCTTTATAAGCTGGCTTCAAATATATGAGTTGACTAGGTTTCAATTAAAACTCTCAAATGTTCGCCAAAATATAGTTATCATGGAAAATTCAACTTTTCCCACCATTATATTTTCAGACTTCACACTCTCTAACTTTAATCTATGGAGGTATTTGTGGCATATTTTTGCTACTGTAAAGATTTAATCACTATTGAAGTAATAAAAAATAGTACTTTAACATACAAAGTAATTGATTTGCAAGGCACAGTTATGGAATAAAGCATGCTACAAAACTGAATTTTCCAAATAAGTGAGGGTTATCCTTTTAAATATATAAGGCCTTTAAAAACTAGCAAAAATAAAAATATTTCTAATATTAACCAATACCCATGTTATTTAAAATCATATAACTAAAATATTATTTATAATTTATGGTCATAATTATAAATGCTAAGTGTTGAACTGTATTAATTCTTTAGATATTCCCAGATTCCATACCTATCTAACCCATGTACTTTTCATAATTCCTCTGATAATTCCTCTGCAGTCTCTTTGCATTCTAAGTTGCTACTGTCTGTGAATCCTTGATGCTTCTAATCTACTGCCTTATTCTGCAAACAATTAAAGTCAGGAGTGTATAAGTGAAGTAGTCAGACTGGCCCTCGATTACTTCTACAAGTGAAAATGCATGAGCTTTGAGATAACTATTCTCTTTACTCTCTGAAAGTAGTTTATACCTACATCCAAGCTCACCCGTGAGAAATACCTATAAAAGTTTCTAAAAGGGTTTTTCCCATATTAAGACAGATTGCCTGACCACATAGGAGAAATAGTGTATTATCACATAGTTCACGCAGGCAGGCTAGAATTATTGGTAAGAACATTAACCTACACTTAAAATGATAAAACAAAAACTTGAATGTTCAAGGACTAATATTCATAGATAATGCTTAAGGCTGCCTTCTTTCATATACAACATTCACCCTTTATCACTGTTTTCCTTATCACTACAACTTTTCTCAGAAGAAGACACTTCCAGATGACAATGAGAGCAGAAATAAATCTATACCGGTGAGAGAAGACAGTTCTGGAGAGGTTGAGCACAGCTAAATATTGAAGGCATCCACGGAGAAGAGCTCCACAGACCTGAAAAAGAAATAAGGCACTCTTCTTTTCAAGTATTTCTAGGTCCAGGAGAATCTTTTATTAGAGGTCCCCTACATCCCATCTAAATAGCTCTTCTGAGACCCCTCAGAGCAAGATATATATATATTTTAAATTTACCATGTCCAGGGAACATTCTGTATTGGATAAATCCAGATGAACAATGGCATTTGGCTGGGCCAAAAAATTATACATGTGCTTGAAAAAAAATAAAAGATAAATGTTAGGATTCTAGAAACACACACATACACACAATGCAAGTTAATGTTTTAAAAGGAAGTTGCCAGAATTTCTCAGATCATTCTCTGCTCTTCCCAAGGGGATTATCAGAATTTTCTGTCATTCCTTTAGGTTCCCTGACAGTGAAAATCCCAAGAATAGTTAAAATTATGTTTGAGTTAAAAAAAGGCCAAATGGAATATTGAAAACCAAACCCCCATTTTGTTATGCATGACTTAGTTTTCCTGGATAGCTTAATTTTTATTATACAATTTTGGAACCGTGCTAATTCATTTTAACCCCTGAGATTAAAATACCACCTGAACTGCAATCACTCTATCAAAATGCTAATCACTTTTGAAAGTGTTTGCAGAACTACGAATCTGAATCTGAACCACAGGATGGTCTCAGGCTATCCTCTCTTCTGTCCGACATAATGATTTTTCTACCCTTAGTTACTTCTCAAAGCTAACAAGAATGGCTTGGCAGCAATATGAGTGCTTTTTTAAAAATTTCACTAATAGCTAAGACACTTCTGGTTTCAGGGGGTCACAATGCTTAAACTTCCCCAGTCCTCTCATTCAAGGCCATCAAAATAATGAGACTGATCAACAGATCAGTTCAACTGAGATACTGAACATCAACAGCAATGTTGTTCTGGAATTACCCTGTATGTGTAGCAACTGCCAGAGCCCACCCATAACAAGCTGAGTCCAAGCTCCCTGCCACCAGGCAAATAGCTTAAATTCTCCTCTGCTTCACTGGATGCCACTGGATACTTGCAAAAACAAACAAGCTTATACTGAGTACGTCCTTGCAAACATTTACTATGTGTAGCAGTTTGGCTATATGGTGCTTCAGAAGAATCCTATCAAGGAATTCAGAAGAGCAAAAAAATAGCCTGTAAACACTTAACACTTTAAAATAACCATACACACAGAATGACATTTATTTTTTTTTATTTATTTATTTATTTATTTATTTATTTATTTATTTATTTATTTATTTATTTTAAGACAGGGTCTGGCTCTATCGCCCAAGCTGGAGTGCAGTGGTATGATCTCGGCTCACCGCCACCTCCACTTCCCGGCATCAAGCCATCCTCCCGCTTCAACCTCCTGAGTGGCTGGGACTACAGGCATGTGACACCACGCCCAGCTAATTTTTGTATTTTTTGTAGAGACAGGGTTTCAACATATTGTCCAGGCTGGTCACAAACCCCTGGACCCCAGAGATCCACCTGCCTTAGCCTCCAAAAGTGCTGGAATTCTAAGTGTGAGCCACTACACCCAGCCATAGAATGGATGTTGTTATGAAAAGTTCTGATTCAGAAAAGTCATTTTGCTCTCACATGAAGATCCTCTGCCTCTCTCTCTCTGTTTGCCTGGCAAAAATTGTCTCAAGAGACTTTTAAGTTTACTGTGGCTTTGCTCCCAGCTACCAGCTGGGGGAGCTCTTATCACCATGAAATGGTGACAAGACTATTTGGCCACACTTCTCCAAAGAGGCCAGGCCCTGCTAGGCTGCTTTCCCTGAGGGCACAGGGTCAGGTAAACTCCTGCACCTGCCGCCAGGCTCCTGGAACTTTTGCCTTCCCCGCCCACTCTCCCCTCCAGCCCACTCTCACTCAGGTCTCATCGTTCCACTCCCCAGAAGCAAGCTACAACAGGACCCACCCTGGCCAGAAAAAGAAATCTTGAGCTATTTTGTTGTTTTAGGTGACTATTAATGTTCCTATTTTAGCTGAATCTTATTAATCTTTAGCCTTTCCTTTTATCCTTCCCTCTATTCTTCTACTTTGCCACAGTATTATTTTGGTGGTGTCACATTGGCCTTGTTTTATTTTGGGGGGGAGCAGATTTATGAACTGTCAGTGAAGGTAACAACTGAAACTGGAAAATGGATTGAAAAATCGTGGCACACCAGGAATCAAGTATTATTTAAATAATTTTAAGTTCAAGGGAGAGGAAAAGGAAAAAAAAATACAAAAAGGCCTTCATTTGTACTTCCTGCCTTACAGGTAAACCAAAACAAGAGAAATAAGAATAAATTTCACAGTGTTTTTCAGCCCTGTGGCAAAGCAGTGGAATGCAAATTAAGGCCATTCAAAGATGGCCGCTGGGTGTAGGCCATGTTGTTAAAGAAACAATTCTATCTTGGTGACTAGAGGGGATCATTTGCCACATATGGAAATGAGATAATACCTAATCCACTGTGTCAAAGATCTGCCAAATATTACATTATTGATTCAGTTACATTAAAAATTTTATTATAATTGAGAGAGTAGTTTTTGCCTTCATATTCAAACTCCGAAGAAATGGCCCCAGGTTATATGTTGACCACTCTTCTCCCTATTTTATTCACGGAATAGACGAGTGCTCAGGTTTATCCCAATACTCCCTTTCAATTGTAACCTATAACCATCAGTCTTCCCAGTAACAATAATAATAATGAGAAAGTTCAGTTAATGTGCCCAATCTTCCTTACCAGGCAATTTTAACCTGTAAGCTAATGGGTTTTTGTTGTTGTTGTTGTTGTTATTGTTTGATACGGAGACTCACACTGTCGCCCAGGCTGGAGTGCAGTGGTGTAATCTCGGCTCACCACAACCTCCGCCTCCAGGGTTCAAGCACTTCTCCTGCCTCAGCCTCCTGAGTACCTGGGACTACAGGCAAGTGCCACCATGCTTGGCTAATTTTTGTATTTTTAGTAGAGATGGGGTTTCACCATGTTGGCCAGGCTGGTCTCGATCTCCTGACCTCGTGATCTGCCTGCCTCAGCCTCCCAAAGTGCTGGGATTACAGGTGTGAGCCACCATGCCTGGTCCCTGTAAGCTAATGTTTTTAAATGAAGAAAAAAATTCTTCAACAGCATTACTTCCAAAAAAATGTGAACTTCAGCATCACTAAATGAGAAAAAAAAATAATTGTGGTGATATATGACATTTAATTAACGAATGCTCTGGAATTTTCAGTAAAACACTTCATAAGCTCGTAACTAAATGATTCAAAGGTGTCATGACAAAGAGAGAGGCAGGAAAATGCACTACAAAGACATGTTTAGAATTATTCCAGGCTTATTAAACACAGCTTCTTCGAAGATGGAATAAAGAAAAGAAAACTTACTGAGAGGTCATCTCCACGAAGGACGTTCCCTGAGAGGTCGAGGTGGACAAGGGTAGAGGCGGTCAATGGATTGGCACTGAGTGACTGAGAAAGGCTGTTCACCCCTGCAACATCAAGAAAATCCAGGCTCAGTTTGCACTCCAGGAAACAAAATGAGGTTTGTGTTTCTATAAATGGCCCAACACTTCCATCAAATTGCAGGACTGAGGTTAACCATGAGCACTGTCCCTGAAAGGTGGCGCTATGATTGTGTCTCCTTTTGATACACCCTCAGGAAGAACAGGTTGGTCAAAGACACAACCCCCTCACTGAATCAGAAGGAGTAATGAATTGGCTTCCCTTTGATCCATGTCTTCTGATGTGTCCAAGGACAGAAAGGATTTTAATCTGAAGCCTTAGAATGATGAAAGCAATCTAGTTGACAATGTTTATCCTTCTCTTAATCCTGCCAGGTGATTCTTGAGTTAGTGCCTGGTGTTTAAATGATGCATGTCCAAGTTCAGATAATTTAGGCTATTTAAAGTATTGGGAAGTTAAAAAGAGAAGTAGACAGCTCTTCTTAAATGTATTACATTCAAGGAAACATTTGGATTAAAATGGATTTCACAAAGAATGAGGAGATGATCTGTATACCATGTAAGATGCAATCATAAGGAAAAATGTATAATTAGCACTCTATACACTCTTTACATACATAACATAAATGGCTCAAATTAACATAAACTGAACTAAACTGACAAATTCACCTCAGAAAACAAAGAATGAATATGTGAGGAGGCTGCTTATCCTGTATGGATAGAACTAAGTTCTCTTATAGGTGGGTAACAGTTATTGACAGGCCTGCTAGTCATGGTTGTCTAGGGGGCCATTTCTTTTCAGAAGGGAAAAGGAGCTCTTTGAGGTGTGTCATTATAAAATGGGAGCCCAGAAGGGTCTAATCACTCACTGAGACTCAATCACTCATCACAGCACTGATGATTTTACTTAGCATAATGGGAATGTGCGAGATAGCAAAGCTCTTCATGTTTCTACCAAAAGTCCATGGTTCCAAATTATATATTTTAGAAATATGGCTATTTCTTAATTGGGTATCCTTTTATAAATTATTTTGTTTTTCTTATTTTTCAGCAAAATTTTTTGAAAATCTCAACCTATCAAATGGAGACTCAAGTAAGTCAACTACTCTAAAGAACCAGGAAAAGGTTTTCTTTCCCCTCCACATTTGGGCAGACCCTTCATGGAGAAGAGGGGCCAAGGTCAGGTCTGCCAGTAAGAGCCAGTTCTGGTCATAGCAGCAGGATCCGATGAAGGTACTACAAGAGCTGTGGGGTGCAGGTGCAGCCTTCCACTGGAGCACCTCCCTGCTGTGAGCTTAGAACGTTCAGTATGGGGCTGATAAAGAGGCCATTGTCTTCTCCAGCTTCAGAGAGTTATAATAAACTGATTCTAGTGTGTGTCTGATAAAGGCTACTGAGCCATTTCTCAAAGTGGGCGCACATTTGGGTGGGTATACAGGAGACCGAGACTTCGAATAAAAAATATTTAAGTGCAAAAAACTTCTTGGCTGTCAACTCACCATTTACTGAATGCTAACAAAATGCTGGGAATTAAAATATAAATAAGATCATTTTTTTTTTACCCTCAAAAATTGCAAAGACCATTAGGGAAAAACTTAATTAGACTCTACAATGAAAAGTCAGTGCCACACAAGGAATATTCATTTCAATAAACCTTTATGGAAATCCTACTGTGTACCAGGCAGGGTCTTCTGAGATACCATCTTACTCACTGAAGGCCAGTGGAGCAGGAGACACAGACAGCTGAATAATCACTACCCAGTGAGGCAATAATTATCAATGGGGCAAGAACAAAAGCTTGGCAGTAGAGGAGGAGGAAATTTGATTAATTGTGTTAGATAAGAGAAACGTATGGTGGCTTATAAAAAAAGGTTATTTTCTGGAGGTTATCTTCTATAACTGTTTAAACGACCAACTTCCTTTAGTTTGTCCCGATATTAGTATTAATGTATTTTTTAATGGAATAACTAAGTCCAAAACATAGGGCCAATACCAGATTCTCATCAAGAAAATCATTTGTAAAATCATTTCCTTAGTGAGGTATAACAAAACTCAATAAATAAATTCCCAAAATAGAAGGCTAAATTAGTCCTGACAGCAAAATGCTCCTGGACAAGTGCGGGCGCTTGGCAGTTGTCCAACATCTGAATAGACTCGAGAGAGCATCATGTTATCAGCTCAGCTTCATGCTACTGAAACAGCATGAAGGATTTCCTCAGCTGCCCCCTAATCCCATGCTCACATGAGGCCTGTGTTAATAAGCCCACGAAGAGTGGAGAATTATAAAAGTATAGAATTGAAAAAAAATCAAGGCTCTTACAGCCCTAACTAAACACATTTACATGCCTTTCTCGATTCTGGCTGTCTAGTGATTTTGACCATTCTGTTACTTATTATTGCAGTGTTTACAGCTGGAAAAAGGTGGTACCAGATGGTTCTGCCTTGACATAATCTGGCAACCAGCAGGACATTTGCTAGAAATCCAGAAAACTATCAGTTAGCTAACATATGAGATAAAGAAAGGGTATTTGGAGGCAGTGGTGATGTCATGGGGAGTTTTTTTTTTTTTTAATCTGTCTTGCGTTATCGAGCCATGAATATAAATGCTAGTCAAATTCACCAGAAGCTTAACACTGCAATGTAACTCCAGTCATTTTAAAACTGCGAATCTTTCAGATCCTATGTAAAATACTTCAAGAAGTCAATTTAAAAAAATAAATAAATAAACAAACATTTCAAGATATTTTTGTCTTAGGGCAATTTGAAATTATTCAGGCCAGGCATGGTGGCTCATGCCTGTAATCCCAGCACTTTGGGAGGCTGAGGCAGATGGATCACCTGAGGTCAGGAATTTGAGACCAGCCTAGCCAACATGGCGAAAACTCATCTCTACTAAAAATACAAAAATTAGCTGGGCGTGGTGGCACATGCCTGTAATCCCAGCTACTCGGGAGGCTGAGGCAAGAGAATCGCTTGAACCCTGGAGGTGGAGGTTGCAGTGAGCCAAGATCATGCAAGTGAGCCAAGATCGTGCAACTGCACTCCAGCCCGAGCGACAGAGCGAGACTCCGTCTAAATAAAATAAAATAAGATAAAAATTCTTCAAGTCATGTTATAAAACAATGTTAATTCCCAAAACATGTATTTTAATATATACATATTTTATTGCAGGTAAAAGATAAATGGGAGGACCCTTATTTGTAAAGGGTACAGGCAACGTGGGGCTGTCCTCATCGTAAGGAGGTGGAGAAGCCCAGCTTTGCCCGTAGGACCTCCCCACTGTTACCACACTAAAAGGGACAGGAACATCAGGGAGAGGTGGCACTGAAGGTCCTCAGAACCAAACTTGCCCTTGAAAGGATAAATGATGACTACATCCTTTTATTTGTTATATAGTAATGAACAAATGAATTAAAATAAATATAATCAAGAATTATTAATATAATCATTTTTTTGTTTTTGTTTTCGTTTTAAGAGACAGGTTCTCACTCTGTCACCCAGGCTGGAGTGCAGTGGCCCTGTCATAGCTCACTGCAACCTGAAACTCCTGAGCTCAAGCATCCTCCCACCTCAGCCTCCTGGGTGGCTAGAATTACAGATGTAATTCATATAATCAGGTTTTTAAAAACCACCTTTATCTTATAAACGACTTAAACTAGACCTATGGAGCACACAATCAATAATGAATGCTTTTAATATGTACACAAGTCATATAAACTTTTTTAAAAATAGATTAACACTATAAACAGAAAACTAACAAAGGATGTAAACTTAGTGATTTCCCTAAAAGAAATACAAAGGACTAAGGAACAAGGGAGTTTGGAGGGGGTTTGCCTTCTTATTTATACTTTTTAGCATCTTCTAAATCTTTACCATAAATGTGTACTACATTGATAATTATCAGAAAAAGGTTTATATAAAATGGATTTGCTGAAGTGGAACAGTGATAATGTAAAGGAGTTAAACTTAGCTGTAAGATCTGTAGATGGCTTCAGGCAATAGGTCTGAAAACACTGACTCCTGGGGAAATCCCTTTGGTAATTTATTTTCATGCCTTAATCTTAAATATGTGTGTATAAATGTGTGCACATAAAATCATGGGACTTACGGAACTAATCTCAATTTCAAACCATTCTTAATTTAACTGCATGTTCAGAATAGTGTATGATGGCATGGATATAAAATCATCAAGGGATGACTTTGCTTCACTCATTTATCCAAGGCACATTCCGTGAGAGACTGAGAAGTGCCAGGACACAGCAATGAACGAGGCAAAGCCCTTATTGTCCAGAAATGTACAGGCTAAGACACAATCAAATGTGATGGACACATGCTAAGATAGAGGAATTTACACAGGGCTAAGGAACACAGAGAAAGGAGCATCTAGTCATACAGGGTGTGGTGAGAGGGGGTTGTCTGAGAACATTTCAAAGAGAAAGTGAGATAGAAGCAGCCAGGCTCAGTAGCTCATGCATGTAATCCCAGCACTTTGGGAGGCTGAGGCAGGCAGATCGCTTGAGCTCAGGAGTTCGAGACTGGCCACGGAACATGGAAACTCTGTCTCTACAAAAAAATTAGCAGGGTGTGGTAGTGCACGCTTGTGGTCCCAGCTACTTGGGGGGCTGAGGCGGGAGGATCGCTTGAGCCCAGGAGGTTGAGGCTGCAATAAGCCAAGATCGTACCACTGCACTCCAGCCTAGGTGACAGAGCAAGACCCTGTCTCCAAAAAAATAAATAAATAAAATTTAAAAATCCACCTCCGACTTTTTTTCAATCCACCTCGGATTTTTTTTTTAATCTACCTCCATTTTTTTTTTTTTTTTTTTTGAGACAGAGATAGAAGCTGAATCTGCATAGGATGCATGGTAATTCATGAGACATTCCAGGTAAGGACACTAAGGTTGCTCCAGGTAGAAACTGAGGCATATAAAAACATAAGACAGCTCAGGATGATGATAATTATGATGATGGTGGTGGTGGTGGTGCCGGTACTGGTGGGGGTGATGGTAGCAGTTTACTAAGCACTTTGTGACAGAAACCATACTATATGTATATTAAATCATTTAACTCTACCTGTGTAGAAATAAGATAGTGTTATTTCTGTCTTACAAATGAGGCATCTGGGAGCAAAGACATTATAAATGCATGTTCATACATAAGTAGAAAAGTCAGAATTCAACCTTCGGCAATCTGACTACAGAACTGACACTTTCAACCACTATACATACTGTTTCCAAAAGACAGTGGCTTTCTTAAGAAATGGCAAGATGTTCAAGAAACTTTTGTTAAACAGTAGTCCAGGCACAGTGCCAGGTGCTGCAGATAAATAGAGAGAAGCACAGGCCACAAGGAGAGCCCCAGTGTAGCAGGAAAGACACAATATTTATGCAATAATGTTACATATGTGATCTTGAAGTAATACAAAGGGAACACTCATTGATTCTGTATGGCCTTGGGAAGAGGGAACACATCTCAGCAGAGTTTATCACAGATAAACAGTTTTATAAAACAAACTGAACCTCTCTATTTGGGGATTAAAAAAAAATTTTCAGGCATCCAGGGCAAAATGTGAAGATACACAAAGGCACAAAGAATGCAGGATAATTTCTAATATTATTATTGAGGTGCTGCTGTGGCAAAATAATAATGAATTGACAGGATTTGATGGAAAAAATGAAGGTGAGTGAAGTTAGGAACTGACCTGGAGAGAAGATAAGGAAATCTCTAAAGACAGAACTACAAGGAGTGGAGCTACAGTGGTGATTCACAAGTTAAGCCCAACAGTTTTCTGTAAAGCAGACAGTCTATCTGACAGTTAGAAAGGCCAACTTGTTGAACCAAGAGAAACACAACCAGGTGCATCTTGGAATGTGAGGCAGGAGGGCAGAGGCAGACAGGCAAGTGTTCCCTGACTCAAAGTTTTAAAAGTTAAAGACTGCATGTACATGTCAAAATTACTCTCTGCTCTGACAGCACTTCACTGCAGAGCATCAAAAATTGAATTACATAAAGTCTTTATCTTCAAACTGCCAGAGTAATATAATACATATATTTTAAATGTATTTTTTTAATGTATTTTTAAATGTAACAAATAATTCTAACTAAGGTAGCAGGTGCAGCAGAAATATTTCAGACACACTCTTAGGTAAATAAGAAATACTGTACCTTTAGGTGATAATGAGGTTTTAGATAAATTTAAGTGCTTTAATCCCTTTGGGAGTTTGGCAAATTGAATACTTAAAGAGGACACACCTGAGAAAGGAAAAAGAAGCGATTAGAATTTTCAAGTTCTCAGAATTGCATTTTTTACAATGGATGAAAATTAACTTAATTTTGATTCTGACTGAAGTGATCATATTTTTCTTTCTAATATCAGACTTTGTTTTCTAAACATTTACCATCAAGTCCCCTTTTCTTTCTGTCCTACCTACAGGGTAAGAGAAGGGGAAGATTGTCTTATTAGGCATACAATATCTGAAACTTTTCCATTGGAGATACTTTTCTTGGGGCCACGTGTCACTCTTTTTCTCACAGTTCTATTTAAAATGCAAATCCTCTTGGAAAGGATAATTGTTAACCCCTTTTCTTTTTAACCTGTCTTAATGAGTTGATCGCTCTTCTAGATGAGCGGATGTATGATATTTAATTATTGCCAAGAAGAATGGAGTAATATTAACTATTCTGATAATGGCAGATGGATTCCTATACTTAATTGGCTTATAGCTAACAACCTCATACAGAGCTTCGGAGCATGTTTTAACTTCTTAAAAGTAGATTTTGTAACTTTGGATAACTCACCAGGAATTTATGGTATTTAAAATCAGATATCTTCTAAATTTAATAACCAGAGTGGGAGATTGGGAACACCAGCTCACCCATCCAAGGACTGCAATGAGCATAGACTGTTTTCTGGGAGGAAATAAGTAATACACAAACGTATGCCCTTCATACAGGTCCTTCAACTGACCTCCTGCTATGGATGAGCCATCATTTCCCCAGGGGCATGTTCTTGAGAAGGCTCCTTAAACAATGTTAATTCCTGTTCCCTTAGACTAATTATCAAGCTTCAGGCAGCAATAAGAAATTACTGTGCTGGTTGCTGCCCTTATATAACCCCAAATTATCTACAAATCTTATCACAACTTCTAAGAAACAACATGGAGGTCATGCAGCTAGACTAAGCCTCTACATGGGCTTTTCCCCTAGAACAGTGGGTGTTCTGGGAGCCTCTATTTCCCCACTGTGTTTCCACAGTCAAAGAAGTTTGAAAATCACTGGATTAAATCATGTTAAACAGGTTTTTATCGGAGTATTTCTAGAGACTTGAGTATGCTAATCCATTTTGTAAATTACAAAAAGAGGGCAGCCTTGATATTTAGCTGATACACTCTTGTAAAAAAAAAAAATAAGTGACTAACAAGTTGATGTGGGAAAGGGGGGAAGACAGAATAACTGTTAAAACTTGATTAATCTAAAAGGCAAAAAAGAGAGGAAAAAAGGGGACAAATAAAAAAATGGACCAGCACTTTGGGAGGCCGAGGAGGGCGGATCACAAGGTCAGGAGATCGAGACCATCCTGGCTAACACGGTGAAACCCCGTTTCTACTAAAAATACAAAAAATTAGCCGGGCGTGGTGGCGGGCGCGGGTAGTTCCAACTACTCCGGAGGCTGAGGCAGGAGAATGGCGTGAACTCAGGAGGTGGAGATTGCAGTGAGCCGAGATCGCGCCAGCCTGGGTAACACAGCAAGACTCCAACTCAAAAAAAAAAAAAAAAAAAGGAAACAAATAGTAATACAGATTTTCACCCAATATTTCAATGATTACATTAAATATAAATTTAAATTAAATATAAATAATTTAAATTTATTTTATTTAAAAATATTATTATATAAATATAAAGACTCAAATTACAAGTCAAAGATGATTTATTTGAATAAAAATATCAAATGTTTTCAAGAGATACACCTAGAGATACATGTATTCAGAAGTGAACGTAAAAGCGAAAAAAGATATGCTACAAACACTAACTAAAAGAAATCTGATGTAGCTGCAATAAGACAATTTAAATTTTAAGAAACATTACTAAAGATAAATGGAATATTTCATTAATTAAGAAGATACAATTACTCTAAATCTATGCTCTGATTAACATCATCTGAAAATATATAAAGTAAATCTGACAGTAACAAAAGGAAAATACACATATTACATAAACACACACGCATATATAATAATGGAAGTTTTCTAACACACTTCTATTAGTAGCTAATAAATGAACAGAAAAAGTCAGTAAAGATATAGAAAATATCAAGATCATAATGAAAAAAGATATAACTGATATATTTAAAATGCTGTACCCAGTAACTACAGAATACATTTCTTCAAAGTCCACACTAAATATTTTCCAAAAGGAATCATATACTGAGCCATAAAGAAAGTCTCAACAAATAACAGAATGTTCCTTAGTACTGTGAATTCATACACAGAATATTTGTATGTTCTCTGTTACCACTACTGCAGTTAAAATAGGAATTATAACAATAAGATAATTAGAAAATCCCCAAATAATTATAACTTAAGCAATATATTTCTAAATAACAAAAGAGTCAAAAATCACAGTGGGAATTTTAAAAATATTTTGAGTTAAATCTAAAAACTATGGTATTAAAATCTTTGGGATCTAACTAGAGCCATGCCTAGAGAGAAATCAATAGACCTAAATACATATTTTAAGAAAGATAAAAAACTGGAAAATAATTATCTAATTATCCAGCTCAAAAAACAGCAAATTAATCCTCACCCACCTCTGTAAACAGAAGGAAGGAAAAAAAATAAGAAAAAGGGAAGAATCCAGTTAAATAGATAGCAGCCATAAAAATAAGTAAATTTAACAAAGTTGGTTCTTTAAAAATACTAACAAAATTAATAAACTCCAACAAGACTGGTAAAATAAATAAATGAGAAACAGAGATCAAATTATCAAAATCAAATGAAAAGAGAATGTAAAGATCTTACAGGCGTTGAATTATAACTCGAGGGTATAAACACATCTGTAAGTCAAAAAACTATCATTTTAATAGAAAGGAACAAATCCCTTATGAAAAACATGACAGACCAAAACTAATTTAAGAAGAAGTAAATAATCTCAATAGTTCTCTATCTATTCAAGGAAACAAATCTATTATTAAAAAATCTCTCCACAAAGAGAAGCAAAAGAAGCCACACACAAAGGAGTACATAGGCAAAGAACAGGCAAAGCTCATCCATCATGAGAGAAGTCAGAATAGTAGTTATCTTTTCCAAGTGGTAGAGGACAGGGCTGGTAATCACTGGGGCAAACCACAAGGTAAGTCTGGAGAACGGTGGGAACATTCTGTCTCTTGATCTTGGTAGTGGTTTCTGGGAGAAACAAAAGGCCTCTTCTCTGTTAGAAAGCATACACATTGGAACATTGTGGATGTCAGAGCACAGGTGAGTAAAAATTTTTACATTTCTACCAATTCTATAACTTTCCTGGAGAGTTCAGAAACACTAAGGAAAGTAAGTGAAAAAGCAAAATACAATGAAGTATTTCCATTTCAAAAATAAGGCTGAGAGGAAAAGACTTAGAACCAAGAGTATAAGAATATAGGCATACTGGAAAAAATTGAGTCAATACTTCCAACTTTTAAACGCCCTAAATCTAAATCTATGCCCTTTTTTTTTTTCCCCAAGATGGAGTCCCACTCTGTCACCCAGGCTGGAGTGCAGAGGCGCGATCTCGGCTCACTGCAACCTCCTCCTCCCAGGTTCAAGGGAATCTCCTGCCTCAGCCTCCCGAGTAGCTGAGACTACAGGCACGTGCCACCACGCTCGGCTAATTTTTTGTATTTTTAGTAAAGACGGGGTTTCACTGTGTTAGCCAGGATGGTCTTGATCTCCTGACCTTGTGATCTGCCCGCCTCGGCCTCCCAAAGTGCTAGGATTATAGGCGTGAGCCACCGTGCCCAGCCAATCTATGCCATTTTTAAAATATTGCTTTACCTGTTTAACCATAAAAATATCAATTATTTCATTTAATCCTTAGAACATTCTTATTTGGTAGGTACTATCATTGTATTTTTAATATAAGGAAGCTGAGGTACAGAGAAGGTAGGTAACTTGTCCAAGAACACTTAGCTAGAAAGCTGTGAAGCCAGGAATTAAACCCATGTGTTTCGACTCTGGGACTCACTGATATACACTGAGACATGAAAGACCTAAAACACCAAGAAAAGTAAGCAGCAATCCTAGAATCTATAAGTCTCTTGTCTTATTTAGAAGATCAAATCAGAGCCACCACCAAATAGCTGGGAAAAAATATGAGCGTACTTCAGGTCAACAAAAAACACTAGAGCTAGGATTCTAAATGGTGTCTAAATGAAATAATCGAATTTTGAATAGAGTGAGTGGAGAAGCCTGGGCAACAGAGTGAGACCACATCACTACAAAAAAAAATTTAAAAATTAGCCAGGTGTGGTAGTGCACACCTGCAATCCCAGCTACTTGGGAGACTGAGTGGGGAGGATGGCTTGAGCCCAGGAAATGGAGGTTGCAGTGAGCCATTATTACACCACCATACTCCAGCCTGGGCAACAGAGTGAGACCTTGTCTCAAAAAAAAAAAAAAAAAAAAAGTGATGAGAAGAAGTGAGGACAGACATTTCTGAAAAGGCTGAAATCATAAAAACTAAGGTAATTGGGACAGATAACTAGGAAAAACAGAACACAGAATTTGCAATGCTTAGAGAAGTAAAGCATAAATGTACACACATATATTAGTATTAGAAAACTAAAACTAAAGTTTCCCCTGAACAATGTACTCTGACATTTTCTGTTCTATTCCACTGCTTTAAAAAAAAAAAATTGCTTGTCATGAACTATTAAATTGATTTCACAGCCAGCTAATGGGTCTTCACCCACAGTCCAAAAAAACACTGTGTTAGATGAAGACCAAGAGCAAGCTGGTGAACAGGCATGGCCTGGCAACAAGGATAAGAATAGCTTGTGTATGTGTGTGGTCTGTTCACCATCTTGTGTTGCTCTTGCAGAAAGAGAGCAGGAGGGTATCTAGCATTTGAAGGATTACTCATACACATTATACCTCTGCTTACTAAGTCATACTCGAACCTCCTTTACCACAACCCCCTCAGCAATCAGAAGACTGCAGGCCTGGTCCTCTGTACATAGATGTGAAAATAACAGAGATTTGCTGCATCAACATTCATATCATACAACTCTTTGAGAGTTTCCAAATAAGTCCCTGAGTGGAAGGTTTAGGTACAAAACCACATTCCATTTGCTGTTTAAATTCCTCAGAATTCCTGGCCACTTAACTGTTAAGACCTTATCTCCCTTGTTTTTTTTTTGTTGTTGTTTGTTTTTTGTTTTTTTTTTTTTTTGAGACGGAATTTCTCTCAGTCGCCAGGCTGGAGTGCAGTGACACAATCTCGGCTCACTGCAACCTCTGACTCCCTGATTCAAGCGATTCTCCTGCCTCAGCCTCTCGAGTAGCTGGGATTACAGGCACACACCACCACACCCAGCTAATGTTTGTATTTTTAGTAGAGATGGGGTTTCACCACATTGACCAGGATGGTCTCAATCTCCTGACCTCATGATCCGCTAGCCTCAGCCTCCCAAAGTGCTGGGATTACAGTCGTGAGCCACCGCGCCCAGGCCCTTGTATTTCTTTGAGCTTCCTTACAAATAATAGTCCTGGCTTAGTGTTTTTTATATCCTGTATAACTTAATTATAGACCTCTCATTCACCCTTTTTATTAGTTTTAAACACAAAATACCATCACTGAAAAGCTTGGGAACAAAAATTACTAAAAGTTTTCTCTAGATTGAAATTTCAATAAATATTTTACACTCAATTAGATTTCTTGTGGAATTTCCATCCATGAGCAGAAAAGCTACCAATCATCTTCAGGTATTTAGCCTGAATGAAAAGAATAAAGAATTTGTGTTCAGGAGGCTCATCCCCAAGAGTAAAGAAAGGTGGGAGATATGAATGTTGGCAGTTGCCTGTGAGCACTGGCAAATACAGCAATGAATGAATTTAGAAGAGGCAGAAATGAGAAAAGTCTTGGTCTGCGAAAATATTTCCAGGATGTCAAAATTTGAGGGTATGTGAGCAGAAACCACACAACAGACTTGGCAGGAGCATTCAAGGCTATCCTTGGAATGATTCATGATGACAGCACTGGTGAATGGGACGCAGCTAGATAAAAGGACACAAAGTCAGGTCTCAGGAGTAGGAAAGCAGAGGGAAAAAGTAGGCAAACATCATCTTTGAACACATGGTCTGACTCTATCCAAAACAAATCTCTCAAACTTCACCGTAATTTTCAAGTGCAAATAAAAAAACTATACAAGAGCATTAAGATTGAATAAAATCAAATCAATCAAATTCGATTTAAAGAAAATATTTGTTGATTGTGGACGAAGTCTTACACTAGACACTTTGCATCTTAGGAAAGAAGGAAGGGGAGACAGAAAACCCAGAAGGTGGGGATGAGAGGAAGCAAGGTGCTGAAGCATGAGGGAAGAAATGTCCACCTCTAGTTCTCATGTGGGCAGAATGAAGTAAGTGCTATTATGGAAGTTTGCACAGGAGCTCCAAAGTGAGGGCAAGACAGAAGAAACTGCACCTGTGGTGACAAGTTGTCTAATGTGGCTGCACCTCAGAGAACATGAAGCGGACAACGGGAGAGAAAACAAAGGGCCTCAAATTCATTCTTCCTCTTCCATCTCCCCAAACAATGTGTGGTGTTTTAAGTCTAGCTTCTTTCACTCAACAGTGTTTTTGAGGTTCATCCATGATGTGGCATGTGTCAGAATTCCATTCTCTTTTGAGTAGTATTCCAGTGCACATATTATATATACCGCATTTTATGTAACCACTCTCCAGTGATGAACATTTGGATTGTTTCTACTTTTTGACTATTATAACTAATACTGCTACAAACATTCATTCACAAGTCTCTGTGTGGACCTAAGTCTCCTTTCTCTTTGGTGATAAAACTAGGAGTGGAATTTCTGGGTTATATGGCAGATTTGAGTTTAACTTTTTTTTTTTTTTTTGAGACGGAGTCTCACTCTCTCACCCAGGCTAGAATGCAGTGGCTCGATCTTGGCTCACTGCAAGCTCTGCCTCCCCAGTCACCATTCTCCTGCCTCAGCCTCCCGAGTAGCTGGGACTACAGGTGCCTGCCACCACGCCCAGCTAATACTTTGTATTTTAGTAGAGACAGGGTTTCACAGTGTTAGCCAGGATGGTCTCGATCTCCTGACTTCGTGATCCACCCACCTCGGCCTCCCAAAGTGCTGGGATTACAGGCGTGAGCCACCACGCCCAGCCAAGTTTAACTTTTTAAGAAACTATCTAACATGTTTTGCATGTGGCTGTACCATTTTACACTCCCACCAGCAATGTAGGAGTTTCCATTTCTTCACATCCTTTCTAAGACTTATTTTGATTATTGCCACACTACTGCTTTTGAAATGGTACCTCACTGTGGCTTTGATTTGCATTTCTCTAAACACTGAGAAGTGTCCCCTTCCTGGTCCATCTTAACTCTAGATTTCATTTGCTTAAGAACCTTCCTCAAACAACTACCTCCCTCTAGAGATTTTTTCTTGTCTGTCGATAAATATGACTGAATCCTTCCCATTTTAAAAACAAAACCAAAAATAGCCCTCCTATAAACAGTGATCACCATGATTTCTACTTTGTCACATTCACCTCTCTGTAGTATCTAATAGAGAAACATTTGTTTTTCCTAAGAATTGAGTATACCCTAGAGAAACTCCTATTCCATTACTATGCGTCCATTAATTTCAGCTTTGGCTTATTCTATGAGGGTACTTTTTGCGTGATCTAGTTTTCTAATTCAGTCTCAACCTTCCTGTAGATTCACTACTTTAGATGATGACAAGTTACGCTGGAGATTTTTGCTTGAATACAACCTAGGTATCTTTGTCAGCACAGAACAATAACCATATTAAGGACAAAAAGAAAAACTGAACATCTATATCATATATTCAGCTCAGTTTAATAATTAATACTCAGCTGGGTGCGGTGGCTCACGCCTGTAATCCCAGCACTTTGGGAGGCCGAGGTGGGTGGATCACGAGGTCAGGAGTTCGAGACCAACCTGGCTAACACGGTGAAACCCCATCTCTACTAAAAAAAAAAAAATACAAAAAATTAGCTGGGCATGGTGGTGGGCACCTGTAGTCCCAGCTACTCGGGAGGCTGAGGCAGGAGAATGGCATGAACCTGGGAGGCAGAGCTTGCGGTGAGCCAAGATCGCGCCACTGCACTCCAGCCTGGGGGACAAAGCAAGACTCCTTCTCAAAAAAAAAAAAAAATTAATACTCATCAAATATAACATTGAAAGGTGAAAGGCCTTATTCAACAAACCTGGAAAACATTTGCAACAGAAAATGAAAACAAAATAGTCCCACTAGAGATAAACCAATTCCTTCTTAAACCTTGTCCATCAGTGTTCTACTAAGAATTCAAATTCTCAAGTTTCCCTTTCTAAACCTACTGACTCCTCTCTCTACCCATGCAAACACTTTTAATAAAATGTTCTGACTCTTCGTGAACTACAGTCCTTCATCCTTTCCCTATTCTCACACTCAAATCTTGTTAAATATTAAAAGATAATAGTGGTAAATAGAATTCTAAGATAGTCCCCAAGATTCTCACCCCCGGGTGTATACGCCCTGTGCAATTTCCTTGAATATGGGGGTGGGGAGCAGTAAATATACTGTTGACTCTTGAACAACATGGGTTTGAACTGCACTGGTCCACTTCCGTGTGGATTTTTCTCCACCTCTGCCACTGCTGACACAGCAAGATTAAGGCCTTCTTTTCTTCCTCCTTCTCCTCAGCCTAGTCAATGTGAAGATGACCAAGATAAAGACCTTTATGATGATCTACTTCCACTTAATGAACAGGAAATATATTTTCTTATTCTTATGATTTTCTTAATAAAATTTTATTTAGCTTAAAGAATACAATATATAATACATATAACATACAAAATACATGTTAGTCAACTTTTTATTGGCAAGGCTTCCAGTCAACCCTGCTATTAGTAGTTAAGTTTTGAGGGAGTCAAAAGTTACATGTGAATTTTTGGTTGCTTGGGGTCAGTGCCCCTAACTCTTGTGTCGTTCAAGGGTCAACAGTAATGAGACATCCCTACCATGATTAGGTTACTAATCACTTGACTTTGAGTTCATGAAAAACAGGGAAATTGTCACGGGTGGGCCTGATGCAGTCAGGTGAACTGTTTAAAAGAAACTAAAGCATCAGAGAGATGTACTCCAGCTGGCCTCACACACAAAGCAAACTTCTGTGTTGTGAGATAGGGGGGTCACATGGCAAGAACCATTCTAGGAGCACAGCCTCTAGGAGGTGGGAGTGGTGCCCACTGACAGCTAGTAAGAAACTGGGGACATCGAGCTTATAGCTCCAAGGAAATTAATTCCACCAATAACCAGTGAACTTAAGGAGGACTCCAGGTTACAGATGAGAGCACAACCCTTGCTGACAACTTGCCTTGTCTTGAGAGACAGACCCAGAGCACAGAACCCAGCTAACCCGTACCCAGACTCCTGAGCCAAGGACAGTATGAGATAATAAATTTGTATCATTTTAAGCTGCCAAGTATGTGGTAATTTGTTATGCAGGACTATGTAACTAATAAAACATATTAAAAATAATATCTTCCTTTCCTTTTGTTTCACTTCAAAAAAGGTGAAGCAGATCATACAATTGTAACATAAGCATTTATATGAAAGGGTGGAAAGAACTGGAAGCCAACAGGACCATTAACAGCACTTATAATTACAACTTAGCTTGATACAGCTCTTCAGGCATGGCTAAATTAAAATTCTCTAATCCTCTTACAATTCTGGCATCAATGATAATGAGAACTCTGCAGTACCTCTATCCTCCAGTGGGTTGCCAGCAAGGTTAATTGTGTGGAGTCCTGAGTTGGGATTATGTGCTAGAGCACTGGCCAGTTTTTGTGCAAAATCTCTGCGTGTAAACAAAACAATAAGATTAAATAACAAAATGTAAAACCATTCGAACGGAACATTTAAAGCTTAGAACAGAGTGAAATCTAAATAGAGAAACCTCCCTTACAATATTAGTCTATATAGCATATATTTCTTAATACCCATTAACACCTCATTAGAGAATTTGTAAAGCCACAGCCAGAAAACGGTTCATTCTGATTGGCCAAAAGCAAAAAGAAAATATACAATTGCCCCTTTAAAGGCACTCTGTTGTGTGCTATTAACAGTACTTTCTGGCCCCTCCATAATTTAAAAAAAAAAAAAATCCTGGATTGAACCTGCTTTTCATGAAAATTATAGTATTCACCACATCTTATTTCTCATTCCATGCAATTGTGAATGCAAAACTGATTACACTAATTATTAAGTTTAAAGGTTACAATTGCTAGTGCTACATTTTGGCAAAAATTAAAACCACTGTTTTAGTTATGTTTAACTTCAAATAATGTACTAAGTGCTATGATTATGAAACTGTCAACCCTCCTCACTTAGCAGTAAAATCTTTATTCTACTAGGTTCTAACTCTTATGCTCTTAACAGTAGGCTTAGGTAGTGACTACTAAACCACTAGATAAAGACTATGCAAGTGTTAACCTGAAAAGGGAGAAAAAATGACTAAAACTGATCAAAGCAAAGCAGTAAAGTCATATGAAATATGTTATCACTATGACCACCAGTAACGATAATAATTAAACCTACATATACCATCTACAGAGTAAAAGGCACTTTGCCAAGTACTTTAAATATATTAATTCATTTACCCTAGCAATTTTAATTCTATAAAATAGGCATTATTATTATCCCCATTTTAAGAGTGAAGAGAATGAGGCACAGAAAGCGTAAACAACTTGTGCAAGGCCAGGAGACATCTGGCTCAAGGATCCATGCTCTTAAAAACTATACTATGTACTCTCAAAAATATCAAGTGACACCGTTATCAAGAGATGTTACCAAATTCTTAGCCTTCATGATGATGGCAATTATAGGGATATTTTTTTCCCAGAAGGAAAAACATTGCTGTATATGTGATCAGCCCAATTAAAAAAAAAAAAAACTATGAATTAATTAGAAGAGCAAATGGCACAGAGTTTTAAAGCAACATATTTATATATTCAGGAAAATACTCACGTTCTAAGTCCAGCATTTTCCAACACCAATTCTTCCAGTCGATTGGACCTACTCACCACCCTCAAGATCTGTTCACAGACATCAGTGGACTGTAACAGAAAACATTCTTTGACTATTCCATAACTCTAAAGAAGAAAAACTTTATTGTTATAAATCTATGCAATGCAAAGTTTTAATTAAGTAAAACATTCACTCATTCAATAAACCTTGAATGAGCATCTACTACTACGCACCATCGTGATGAAGATCCTGGAAATACAATGATATAAAGGAGAAAGTCCCGGCCTTCAAGAGTGTGCCATCCAGCAGGGGAAACAGACAAGAAGAATGCTATGGTCAGAGTTTGTGTCCCCCGACCTCCCAAAATTCACAGTTAAAAACCTAATTTCCCCACTGTGATAGCATTAGCAATTAGGTGCCTTTGGGAACTGACTAGGTCATGATGGTGGGGCCCTCATGAAGGAATTAGTGCTTTCGTAAAAGAGGCCCCAGAGAGCTATCTTGCCCCTTCCACTTAGTAAAGACACAGCTAAAAGGCACCACCTGTGAACAAGAAACTGTGCCCTCACCAGACACCAAGTCTGCTGGAGCCTTGATCTTGGACTTCTCTGCCTCAAGAACTGGAAAATAAACCTGTTATTTATAAGCTACCCAATCTATGGCACTTTGTTATAGCAGCCTGAATGAAATGATAAAAATATACAATTATGATAAAATAATAAAAAGACCATTTTGGTAGTGCTATGCATACATATAGGTGCACCTAATCCAGGCTCATGAAACTTAGAGGACTTCCCAAAGAAAGTGACATTCAAAATGGAGAGCTGAAGACTAAGTGTTAGTGATTATGATAATGATGTTGAAAATATCTTTGCAGAGTTCTCACCATGTGCCAGGCACTGAGTTAAGCCCTCTATGTGTATTTCATTATAAAACCATTAAAGATTATTATTCCATTTTCATAGATAAGAAAATTAAGGTTTAAAGATGTCATAAACTTAATAGGAAGGCTAAATAAGTACTTGATGAACACTAACTGGTATTAGGATGTTCCTACTGGAGCATAAATAGGATAAAGTGGGAAACAACCTAATAATAGGAAAAAGCTTAATAAATAATTGTCTCATGTTAATAAACATGTCTCATGTAATAAAAAATGTCAAAAAAACCATTATGTAGTTATATAACTATTATGCATATATGTTAAACAAGATTACAACAATTAAAATGAGTAACTTATAACAAAATTTTCAGGGGACAGTGAAAAATGAAGAGTTGTGCCCTGGTGGTAGAATTGGGCATTTTTTTCTTTATTAATGTTTTTATATTTATAACCTGCTTCATTCCAAAACTAATTTAAAGTGGTTCTTGACCTTAATATTACTTATACATTAAAAAGTCATTTTGGCTTGTGCCTGTAATCCCAGAACTTTGGGAAACTGAGGAAGGCAGATTACTTGAGCTCAAGAGTTCAAGACCAGCCTTGGGAACATGGTGAAATTCCATGTCTACAAAATATACAAAAAGTAGTGGGGTGGGGTCCCAGACTGCGCACGCCTGCAGTCCCAGCTACTCAGGAGGGTAAGGTGGGAGGATCACTTGAGCCCAGGATGTCGAGGCTGCATTGAACCGTCATCGCACCACTGCATCCCAGCCTGGGCCACAGAGTGAGACCCCGTTTCACACATGCAAACACACACATACACATACACACACACACACACAAAGTGATTTTAAAATTCTCCTTGCAACCTAGGCTGTATTAAATACTTCATGATATTTAGAAAAAAGAGTGAGAGAAAGAAGGCATGTTCTATGTGCCACAGCATATAATATCAAAGCACTTTCTTTTCTTAAAATAGCACATAAAAATATTACAGTACTTTGACTTATCAGATCACAAATACCCAACTGGATTAACCATAATTGGAACACAGTCTGAATGTGGCACAAGTTCTCTAGCCAAGTATTTTTAAGAAAACCTAACTTGGATACACCCCAAGTACCACAGCATGTAAGGCTCTCATAATTCTTATTTGCTGTTTGATTCCATTCTGTCTATAATGCCACTTTTACACTATTGCTGGGTTTCTAATGTGTCCCACTGATTTAGGAGGAAAGAGAAAAATTAATTCCAATTGACCTGATGCCTACAATTTACATTATGCTGACAGTGATGATATTCAAAATGGTGACACCCTTATCAGTATAATTCTTTATCTCACAATGTACATACAAAGGAATTGGTCTTATTCTGTGTTGTCATGATAAAAAGTGATTACTTAGATAATGTTTTTGCAGCGATTATCCTAATAACCAGAAATAATTCTTGGGATCATTACCATTTCTGGGCTACCTTGCAGTGCACCCGGAAAAGTAATTTACCATAATGCTTTGAAGATTTATAGCTCATTGGGGTATAAATACTGTAATACAAATTTATTAAGGAAAATGTATGAAAGTGTCTCCAACTTTTCTTTAAAATGCCAGTAGGGGAGACGTGTAACAAATCATTCATGATTAAATTAATTCTACTAATTTTTATTGAGTGCCAAGTACATTAAAAGCATCATTTTCTACAGGGATGAATATAAGGAAATGAAACTTTTAAAGGGAGACACACTCAAACCTAGCTACTAAGTATAATGTGATAATTCCAACAGTGTTATCCAAATGTCTACAGCATGTGCAGCACTACGTGCATCAGTTTAGGAAATTTTTTAAAAACTGGATACAGTGGCTCTCCAGGAGCTTGCACTCAGTTAAAAATGGAATGTAAACAACAAAAACTAGAATCACTATAGAGTAATAAATGAACTATTGCAAAGTAAAATAATTTTTAAAAAATGGAACTTTAGAACTGAAAGAAACCGTATACATTATCTGGTGCCAGCATGTCATTCCCTAAAGACTAAAAAAAGATGCTCACCAATTTGCCTGAATTGCAAAACAGAAGAAGCTGAGCAAGACCCCAATTCTGCTGTTTTTTTTAATGAATCAAGAATGTTGGCCAAAAACATGGTCCTAATTGCATATTCGGTACCATTTTTTTTTTTAAAAATCCTTGACTCAAATTAGAAATAGTGATTGCTAATTTGCTTCATAAGATCAACATAAAGTCATATTTTTCCTGTGGCACCTTAGCACAGGAGGCTTTTATTGGACTAGGAACAATCTTAACCCAGAGAGCTCATATAACTTGAGAAGCAGCCACTTATTTTTGCCCTTGCACTTCATGTTTACAAAATCCAAAGATGTGCTTCTTCACATTGTCCTTTTCTTTGAATAAACCCAATGTTAGACAGTGCTCTGAGACTGCCCACTTCAGTACCAATCAAAAGGGGAAGTATCATTTCTTTTTAACTTTGGGTAAAAAACATCAAGAATTTAGTATTCTTTTTGAAGACCTGTAGAGTAATATCCACAAAGATCACTTCATTTTAAAATACCAAATATTAAAAATATATGCAAACTGTATTTTTGTGTTTAAATCTCAGTTAACAGAAAAGTGGCATAAGCAGCCCTCACATCCTGTCACTCCACTTCCTTCCATCCCAGGACACCCAAGAAAGCATACTAGCACTTACATGGTTTGTTTTGCCAGGACTGAAATGATTAGGTACATATTTTATGTCCTAAACATCTAAGGCAGCTGAAAGGAGATGATACCTGGGAGGAATAATGACAGAATGGCAGCAGCAATTGCCTGGACACCTTCCTGTAATTGCAGGTTGGGACACTCTCCAAAAGTGAGATATCCACAACCTTCTTGAAACCCTCTTGAGGCCCCATTTTGAAATTCACAAGCTTATGTAAATGTTTGAATGAGCCAGAAAAACTGACATGGTAGCAAACCATTGTTCTCTCTGTTCCCACAATCCCTGGACTAATCTCCTTCTCATTCCTCCAGTGGCTCCTCTTTCCCACCTGTACTCTTTGCTGGCTCAGTCCTGGAAATGGTCCCATCCCAGCAAGCAGCAAACAAGGGACTTCTATTCTTAGGTCTCCCATAATGGCTACCTGTCTGCTCCCTGAGAGCTCACCTGGATCCAACTCATGCCAACTCTCACTCCATCATCACTTCTCAGACACAACTCTTGTTTGAATTATATAGTTCACATAATTCATACTCTCATATTTGTTCATTTCTCAATCTCTTTGATAACTTATTAGACATCTACTTATTAAACCAATTTTTATTAAATAGTTACTATGAGCCACACATTCTCATAAGCACTGGGTAGAGATGAATAAGAAATGGTTCCAACTAGCTCACAATAACAGGTGTGCAGGAAGCTGAGGCCCTGGAAGGTCAGGTAAGTTATCTAAGGTACCACAGCCTTGTAATAAAAATTAAAATCTGAAATCCAGGTTTCTTATTCCAAGTTCATGCATTTTCCTCTACCATATTGGCTCTTAAGGGACCCCAAATGAGTTTAGTCCATTTTCATACTTATAATGTTTTAGGCCACCCCTACCCCAGGCAAATTCAGAGAACCAAGTCGCCTGCCCACTAGCCAGTCTCAACCCTCCATGTCCTACAGATCCACGTCTCATTCCAAGTCTGATGTATTCACTATGAAAATCTTAAACCCCTAGATTCTATGACCTCTGAAAGTTAGAGGCTTAAACGTGAGAGTCTCCAGGAAAACATATAAATTCTTTCTTATCCCATAACAAACACCAGAGAGTTAATTTATGTATAAGCATCTGTCCATATGACTGATATGAACTGGCAGCAACCCCAACACAGCATCTTATTTCCACTAATAAAATATACCAAATATTTTTCTCCTTCATATCTTATGAAAACAGATTTCACTTTAATTTCATTTTGCTTTCATATAAATCTACCCAAAACCCCATCTAGAAAATCAACATTAACTATCATTACTCGACCAGGGGAACTCTACCTGTTAATGTTTTCCTAAATTCCTAGGAAGGGAAACTTTGTAGAGACAGAGTGTAAGATAGGAATATAAAATCTGCTATTTGCAGCTGTGCAAATGTAACTTTAACAGTTTTTGCCAACTGAATGACTTTATACTAAAGGCTACACTAAATGTATCTTTTTGTTCATCTTCTTAAATTGCCCGAAACAGCTGAATACATGAGGAAATACTTGGAAGCATCTCACATTACAAATTTGACTAAATGTTACGCAAATCATTTAAAGGAAAATACCTCCTCAAGAAATAAAATGTATACAGCTTACTAGTACAGTAAAAAAATTGTTTTTTTCCCACAATTATTGGGTTTTTGAAATTCAGCAAAGCCAAGCAACATTTGCTGCATGTTTGATTACTTACCAGTTTTAGATCCTTAGAGGACAGTTTTGTGAACCACTGATTATATTCCAGAGCAGCAATGATAGGTATTAGGTCCCTGGAAGCAGAAACAACAAAGTACATGAAAGTGCTCCTACAGTAGCTACACTGACACTTAATTTTTAATCCATGACATCCAAGTTCACCTGTTAATTTCTATTATTCAGAAACACAACATCTAGTTGGCCACTAGACAACAACTAAGTTCTCAAAGACTGATCTTCAAAGTTCCCAAAAGTTGAAGTAAATTGTCTCTAGGGACTCTGTTTCCTACTTCCAAAGGAAAGAGGTTGGTATCAGAATTTGCTTGAAAAACCTCCTTGCTCTGAGAGAAATCCTACCTCTAAGTCCATACCAATAACAAGTCTTATTTCTTTAGATCTCTCCTTCATAAAATCTTTTTTTTTTTTTGAGACAGGGTCCCACTTTGTCACCCAAGGTGGAGTGCAGTGACGTGATCATGGCTGACTGCAGCCTTGACTTCCGAAACTCAAGTGATTCTCCCACCTCAGCCTCCCAAGTAGCTGGGACTACAGGCACGCGCCACCATGCCTGGCTAATTTTTGTATGGATGGGGTTTCCCCATGTTCCCCAGGCTAGTCTCAAACTCTTGGGCTCAAAGAAACTCAACCACCTTGGCCCCCACCCAAAGTGCTGAGATTACAGGCATAAGACACAGTGCCTGGCCTCCTTCATAAACTCTTTAACCATCAATTATCTCATATAGTATTCTCTAGTCAGAGGAGTTCATATTGCAAGCAAGGTACTGCCTACCCTGACAGTAAGTGGCACTGGATGGATTCCCAATGCTTAGCAAGCATTTTGCAACCATTTGGTCTTTTTTTTTTTTTTTTTTTTTGCTTTAGTTCTTAGCAGTGACTGCATCCATAAGATAGCCCAGGTGCATTTTTGTCTTAGGCTTCATATCAGCTCTTTGACCATGTAGTGAAGCTATCTGCATGACAGTTCTGCCTCCATTCCAATTTTGCAGCCTAAGCTCCCACAACTCATCCCATGCTCAAGACAAAAAGCTGACAACTTGTTACTCATCTAACATGATGTGCAATTTCACATTCAGAATAATCTTTTACTGCTCTGTTCAGTTATGAAAAACTATGTGTCCTTAAATGCCACTATTACACATCCTCACCTCCTTAAGTCCTCTCCTGGTCAAACCCCACCTCCCTTTTTAGCATTTATTTATTCTATCTTATATTATAGTTTGTTGCTTTAAGCATCAGTCCCCTACCACCCCCAATTATTCAATTCTTTGAAAACCAAGCCTTTGTCTACTTCAGTTTTTTAGCTTTAGTGAGGTCATATCAGTTTTATGCTCAGTGCAGGACAAGTAGCAGATACTCAGATTTTTACTGAAATAGAAGAGAAAGGCAGAAGGTGGAAAGAAGTCTGAGAATCAATATTATCTCATAGCTCTGGGTGGCCCGGCCCTGTGCTTGGCACTCTACATATACCAGTTCATTTAAATCTCAAAACAACCCCAGGAGTCACTGTTGTTTACATCTTACAGATGAAGGAATAGATGTTCAGAAAATAAACTGAAACTAGGCCAAAGGGACAGAACTACAGTCAGAACCCTGGCTCTGAAGCACCACATGTGTGCAGTTTCAATAGACATGCTTTAAAAAGATGAGATGAGTGCCCACAGATAGTAGAAAAAAAAAATCCAGAGAAATAGGCAGGCTCAGTCATGTGTTTCCACATGCCAGGTTTTCTACTGACAAGCCTCTTTACTAACTTTGCCTAAGTTTAAAATTTTTTTTAAGTTTTAGATTAAAAAGGAGAACAACTGGCCGGGCGCAGTGGCTCACGCCTGTAATCCCAGCATTTTGGGAGGCCGAGACGGGCGGATCACGAGGTCAGGAGATCGAGACCATCCTGGCTAAAACGGTGAAACCCCGTCTCTACTAAAAATACAAAAAATTAGCCGGGCGTAGTGGCGGGCGCCTGTAGTCCCAGCTACTCGGGAGGCTGAGGCAGGAGAATGGCGTGAACCCGGGAGGCAGAGCTTGCAGTGAGCCGAGATCAGGCCACTGCACTCCAGCCTGGGCGACAGAGCGAGACTCCGTCTCAAAAAAAAAAAAAAAAAAAAAGGAGAACAACTCTTTCAATAGTTATTTTATGGTCTTCCCTCTCTTCGTCCCCCTCCATTGACCACATGCTCTGTGCTCAGAACAAGTTCCTGTATCTCTTCCTATTGCCTAATTACAGGTTGTAGCTTCTCTAAGGGTGAATTCCATCTTATTACAGAGTCCCCAAAGCCCACGCTGAGCGTTCTCTTGTATATTTCAACATTCAGAATGATGGCAAAGCAGTCTCATCTTTTTTGTGGATTTAATGTCAAGGAGTGACCACACTTCAGAACCACTTTTTGTGTATTCTGTTCTGTCCCATGATCTGATTTGAAGTATAACTGGCTTTTGTCATAGATGAAGTCATTTTCAGGAACTGAAGGCACATCACTCTACGGAATCATGAATGCAGTGAGTAAAACAGCATCATCTCTACATACCACAATACTCAACACCAAAAATGCTTATGGTTCAATATTAAATTTTTAAGGTATACAGCATTCTAAAGTGAACATCTGTGTGATATAATATATAATTGGGATTAATAAAATCTACATATAAAAAAAGATATAAATGCTAACAAATATAGACTTTTCTTAAAAAAAGAAAGAAATATAGCCAAATGTCATAAGGATACCTTGTTAGCATTCAAGGTGATATTAATGTCTTCTAACAAAATTATTATGTTTTTAAATTGTTCTATGATTCATATTCATAATCTGTTTTACAAGATTAAATCTTCCATGGATGATATAAACAAACTTTTGCTCTAGAAAAAGTTATTCATGAGGAGGATGGAGACTAAGCATATTGGCATGGTTTGCCTACCATGTTTCTCTAAATTGTGTTAATGCCTAGGCTTCTTATGTTAAAAAAACAATTAGAAGGAGACAATGACATATCATATTCAGCAGATATTTATTTAGTCCTTAGTACTAGGCAGGGTTATTAGGCTCTGAGAGCTAAGAGATGAAAAAGAAGTGTAGCTCTTATTCCTCTATCGCACTTCACTGGTAAAGAAAAACCCCTTCTCAACTATCTGTAATACAACGAAAGACGAGAGACTTGCTGAATAGGGAAAATGTTAAAAAACAAACAAACAAAAAGCCCTAAGAGCACAGCAGGACAGCAAGTAATTCGGCCTGAAGTAAATGGGGAATGGCTCACCGGCTTAAAAGATCAGAAGGAAACCAACCAGCCAGGGAGAAAGAGTATTTTAAGAAATTAGGAATAGCACGTACAACAGCATGGGGAACCTGAGCATATCCAGCAATTCCATTCATTCTTATGTTCAACAAATGCCGCCATCATGCATGAATCACTGGGCCTGATGCAAAAATGAACATAGAAAATGGTCCCTGCCCTGATGGCCTGGCACAGCCTAGCAGGAGACTCAGGAAGGAAAAGCAGCTATAACACAGTGAAACAAGCCCTAGTGAGGTAGGGGGAATACAAAATACTATGTGTGCATATAAAAGGGGTGCTAATCAAGACAACCAAGTTGAGAAAGAGGATGTTACTGAGCCCTCAGAGATGAGGGAGTGGGATGAGACACATATTATAAGCAGAAGAAACAGGCAACAGAGTAAGGTATGGCTTAGTCTAAGAGTTTTTAGATCTTCGAAAAGCAAAATACAAAAATAAAAAAATCGATAAACTGGACTTTATTCAAAATTAAAAACTTTTGCTCTACAAAAGATGTCAAGAGAAGAAAAAGATAAGCCACATGCTGACAGAAAATATTTACAAATCCCATTTCTGAAAAAGGAATTGTATCCAAAATGCATAAAGAACTATCAAAAATAAAAAACAATCACCCCATTTTTTTAAATGAGCAAAAGATCTAAACAGACACTTCACTAAATAAGATATATGTATAGCAAATAAGCACATGAAAGGATGCTCACAATTAGTAGCATTAGAAAAATGCATTAGGGAAAAACCAAAAAGAGATGCACGGTTTAAAAAAGAGAAAAAATAAATTTAAAAAAACCTGACAATACCAATTGCTAATAAGGACCCAGAGCAACTGGAACTCTCAAATGGAGCCAATGAGGATGCAAAATGATACACTCAATGGGGAAAACAGTTTGACAGCATCTTATTAGGTTTAACAGATACTTGACATCTGATCCAGCAATCCCATTTCTAGGAAATTCCCCAAGAAAAATCAAAATTTATGTTCACATAAAAATGTAGATAATTATTTATTTTTAAGAGCTATGTTCATAATTACCAGAAACTAAAAACAACACAGATGTCCTTCAAACTACAGGACTGTCAAGGCTAGATTAGAAGAGGTAATATTAATACAGTTTCTACCCAGCTCTCTCTCATGGAAAGCTCACCCATGGAACCCAGTGCTGCCTTGCAGCAGCCAGCCAGCATCAAGCACCAAACACGTGAATGAGGAACTCTTCATTGTGACTCCTGACTGTTCTTGCTGTGGCCATTAAGTTTGAGGGGCTTTGTTACATAGCAATAGATAACCAGAACACTTAGCACTTAGAAATGAGGCTTGAAAGCTACACTTAGGAGGCATGACTTCATGCACGCAAGGTAGTCGTAGAAAACTTTCGAACAGAAATGTTTCAGAAAGTTAATTTCTGCAATATCAGTGGGAGGTATCAGAGGCAAGGTAACAGTCTCTACAATGTAGACATGATGTATCAGAGATATGGAAGGAGTCTAAGGCAGAAGGTGGGTTCAGAGGCTAGAACAAGGGCCAATGCAAAATAGTAGTTTTTTCCAAATTGATTTAGAGATGTAATGCAATGCCAATCAAAATAGGCATACTTTTGTGATAAAACTATAAAGGAACACAAAGATTACTGGGATCATTATTATAACCAGGTGGGGCAAGCGGAGAAGGAGGGAACGGTGATTGAAAATTGATACATGTAAGTCTTTTAAGGAGAGGCAGTAGCCTATTTCTTGTGTTAAATGGTGGACATAAGTGGTTAAATTTACAATGATTTCCATCCTAGTACACATCTGCATACTTTTCTCTAAGGAGACAAGTACAAGGATGGCCTTAGCAGCATTACAGATAACAGACAATACACTAACCAAAATGTCTGACCAACATTCACTAGAATGGATAAATTATGGAATGTTCATACATTAGAATATGAAATAGAAACAGAAGTTAATAAATTATAGCTACACATACCAACATGTAAAACCTCAATTTCTTAGATCCTTAATACCTCTCAGCCTGGCTGCAATATGCTGAGAATGAGGAGCTTACAGTGTAAGACCAAGTGCCTAGGAAGTACTTCAGCAAACGCTTTATGTAAGAAGCAAGGTCTAGTGTAGAGTGACATTCAGGACCCCTAGAATTCATTACTTTCTGGGCATCAAGCCACCATGACAGCCAGAACAAACATGAAGACCAAGGATCAGGGAGACTCAGGCCTGCATGGGACAAACAAGTTTGCATATAATAAAAAAATTATGGAACCAGTAATAATCAAGACTCTGATGAGGTCTCATTTTAACAGAAAATACAAAATACACAAGACAGTATGTAACTAATCTCATTTCTGAGAGTTCATTTTCCTGGATGGCTTTCTTAGGACACAGTAATAAGTGAGCACATAAGCAGATCATGAATAAATATTTAATTTGACATTTGCATGGGCCTCCCTACTGCTGTGCTGATACCAACTCACTGCAAAGGACTACCTGATTTTCCCTGGTGGAGTTTATGGCAGGACAGATCCTTCCTCGTGTTTTCACTAAGTGCTCATGCAATTAATTGACATAAGGGGAAAGGTTTCCAAACATCAGCCATTGTCATATTAACTGATTTCTCTTAGTTGGAAGTGGTAACAGCTTTTTACCATCACCAGTCCATGACATTTATTGTACATCCCCCACTGTGTTTTGCTTTGACATCCTAAGAAACTCCTAATTATGATGTAACCTTTGATCTGAAAAGTAAAGTCAGCCTTAAAAGGAGTTGTAACAGTTGAGGGAACCCTCTCATGAGTCCTGGCAACATGGCAACATTGCATTCTCCTGTACATTTCCAAACATTACTTCTACCATTTCCTTAAAATGGTAGCAAAAACATCTTAAGACTACAAACCTTGAGGAGAAGGATCCAGTATTAACATCTTTTAGAGCCACGTGGCACAATCATTTCTTACACAACACTGAAGAGATATGAGACAGTTAATATTCACTAACCTTTTTCCTGATGTAAATTTACTACACATAGAGTTTTTTTGGTTTTGTTATTAGTCTAATCACTGGTTGGGGAGTATAAAAAATGTTGGGATCCAGGTCAGGTATGGTGACTCACACCTGTAATCCCAGCACCTTGGGAAGCTGAGGCAGGTGGATAGCTTTTGCCCAGGAGTTCATGACCAGCTGGGCAACATGGTGAAATCCCATCTTTACAAATAAATCATAAATAAAATGTAAAACATTAAAAATATAAAAATCAGCCAGGCATGGTGGTACATGCCTGTAGTCCCAGCTACTGAGAATGAAGTGGGAGGATCAACTAAGCCCAGGAGGTCAAGGCTGGGTAATACAGCAAGACCCTGTCTTAAAAAAAAAAAAAAGAAAGAAAGAAAGAAAGAAAGAAAGAAAGAAAGAAAGAAAGAAAGAAAGAAAGAAAAAGTTGGGATCCTTATTTCTATGTCAGTTGACACTTCAGAATAATCGAAACCTTCCCTTAAAACTCTAAAGAATCAAGTTTTTCTCTTATATCTTTCCAGAAGAAAAAGCCATCATAAAACTGATAAAATAAGAGCATCACAGAAAAAAATCCATGAACTAGTCTCAGGAAATCCAAAATTTTCTGTAACATAAGGATTTTCTAACTTTATTTTTCTTTTCAATTAAGAAAACTTGTCATGTTAGATAATTGTTCATTTAAAAAAAAGGAAGACCTTTAAGCATATGAAAATAGCAAGCATTTATAACATTTTTATGTACTAACACAAAGCGCTTTAAATATATTTATCCATACAGTCTTCATAATTACCCCAGAAGAGAGGTATAATTATTAACCCCATTTTCAGATGAACATTCCAAAGGCACAGGGAAGTTTGAAATATGCAAGGTTACAAGGCTAGCTGAGGCAGAGCCAGGGTTCAAACCCAGCCAGTGTGACTCATGATCCCGTGTCTTAACCACTGTGCTGTCATCTCACCAATGACTAACTTGCCTTCCATACCATCAAAAGAATCTTCATACTCTACAGAGGTATACTCTACAGAGGATATACCAGGATGGTATATCCACAGGTTTTCAGATCAAAGGACTGAAAATCCCTTCCATCACAATTAACCAATCATTTGGCTTCTGATTTTAAAGCTTTTTTTTTTTTTTTTTTTTTTTGAGACAGAGTCTCGCTCTGTCACCCAGGCTGGAGTGCAGTGGTGGATCTCAGCTCACTGCAACCTCGCCACCCGATTCAAGCAATTCTCCTGCCTCAGGCTCCCAAGGAGCTGGGGCTACAGGCGACGTGCCACCACGCCCAGCTAATTTTTTGTATTTTTAGTGGAGCATTAAGATGTATTCTGAAGTCACAATTGTACAGCCCTCTTTTTTTCTGAACATCAAAAATAAACTGCTAATATGTGGGGGCTATTTTATAATACAAAGTTAAAATGCAAAAACAAAGAAGTTGACAAGGGATTGAGAGTCTAGATCTCTTGCCAAATTCTTCGCTACTCTACATTCTAGATAACCTATTAAACCTAGATTACCTAGTTCTGATACCATCTTTCTGATCTGTATGACTATAAGAATTTAATTTTCCTAGTTATTATTATCAGTACTAATTTCCCTCCTTACTCCCTTTCCCCTGCCTGCCATCTCTCTGAAATTTTAAGAACACTGTGACTTTTAAATAGACAGTGTTAAGTATACCAGGAAAGTGTTAAAGAACAAAAATAATTCATGGATGTGAAGGACATCTAGCAAGCCCTACAACCTGCAATGTGAGAAAAGCACAAATAGAGAGAGCAGTAATTCAATGAACAACATCATGATTATTCTTAGTATATCCACCTACCACAGGAGTGAAGATTTCCCTCTCACAAATCTTATAAACATTTAAAGGCTCAAAGGAGGTGTTTTAATGCAAGAATGCACAGCCCTGCCACTCTTCATGCTCCATGCATGCACACAATGGATTATGCACTCTCGTGGAACGGCTGGTAAAACTCAGAGCCTAGCATTATCATTTCCTGACATATTCATTCGATAGCCTTTCTGGGAATAATTGAGACTTTTCTCCATTCCATCTACTTTGAATATGGGAGTTGGAGTGCTTTAAAAAGTTAAGAATGTCACAAATTAGCTATTCCCTCCTGCTATCCTAACTTATATAGAGACATGTCTTGTATATTATTAAATTATTAGCGGAACCACTCACCAACTCTGGGAAGGATGTAAATACCTAAAACAGTTCCCAGATGAGGACATTCCTAGAGGCCTAAATGAGTGGTCTCTATATTTTTTGATCATTCATCCCCAACAGCAAAGAATTTTGCATATCCTCCCCTCTAAAAAATGTGTTAATCTATAAATCATATACATGTACTACAGCACTAACATATTAAGCTCAGCACAAAACATACACACATGCATAAATAAAATGAATGAGAAAAAAATAGACAAAAATCAAGTTCTACTATTAACGTCACATCCCCAACATATCATCATCTTGTTCACCCCACAGAGTTCATGTCACCCAGGTTGAGGACCATTCTTCTACAGAACTATTTCGAGAAATTCAGGAATGAAAACAGAAGCCAATGCTGTTCACATCTGATTCCACTCTCCAAACAGCAATGCTTTTATAAATGAGACCAGGAATTAAAAAAAAAAAAAAAATGGAGCTTTGATTAGGAAAAAATGACAGCAGTGTCCTTAGGACAACCTTGGCAAACATAATCCACACTCAGAACTCTTTCCTGATAGTATCACACTCAAGAATGTCACCCTGATCAGTAAGAAATATGACAACACAAAAAAGCATGAATCTGTTGCCTGGACTCTTGTGAGCCAAGTTGAAGCTCAATGATGCATGTCATTGAGTCTTCAAAGAATTGATGGGATTAGCTCCTCTTAAAAATCTGTCAGGAACACGAGAAATCGATGTAGTTAAAGCTATATATTTTCTTCTTCTTGGCACCAGTAAGTACCTCTACCTTCATAATTCCCTACCACTCCAAATTACAGTGTAATTAAATTTTTTAACATGTCAGCTCACAGACCTTCGAGAAATCCCATGAGAAATTTACAACAAATTTTCAATCTATGCCTTTTTTTGGCCTACTGATAACCTAAAACAGAACAAATTGAAAGAATATACTTAAATAAAATGCCAACTGGACATTTTACAAATAACAACTGGAGTGGGCATTTTTCCAAGTACTTCCTAATTACTGTTCTCCAGAGACTAACTGGCTAGATCTAGCATGATCACTGTCATCCTTATTCCTGAATGCTTATTCAGCAACAACAGAGGGACTGGTCCTAGATTCAGTTCTGATAGAACCATAGTAAATAAATAAGAAAACATTATCACAACATTCAAATTGCTTACAAATTACCATGAAGCACCTATATAGATCTTACGGGTTTTAGTGCAGTAGCAAGATATATAGAAATAGGAAGCCAAGTCCACAATGAAAAGAGAACAGCAGGCTGGATAACTGATAAAGCAGCCCCAGGACAGGACGATGCACATGCCTCTCCATCCTTCAGTTCCTGTGGCTACAGATCACATGATATAAGGGGCACAGTGTCCTAACACGGGGCCTATGTCTGAAGAAGAGCAGATCCTAGGCAAATCAGAGGGGTGAGGACAGTAGTAGGGGCTCTTGGTGACAGAACAATGACCAAGGCACTGCCCTGTCACCATACCTGGACCTTCTAAAACCATGTCTCACGTGTGGTGATGGGTTCCCACACAGACAGAATGTTGCTTCCTCCATCTCTGTGCTTCAGATGAGCAAGCTGCCAAGGCCATGTTTCATCCTCTCAGACCTGTGACATTAACATCAGTGCCTCTCCCATGACTAAAATCCCCGGCTTTGAATCTGAAATGGTCCTGGGAAAATGGCAGTTACAAACTTCTAGGCAGAAAAAAATAATGACCTGGATGAGTAAACTAAAAGAAACAAATGGAACCGTGTAAGAATCCAGATAGAATTTAGCCATGGCTTCAAACAAAATTGGGTTAAGAATGTCATTAAAGCTATAACTGCCAACTGGAGCAGGGTGGTAGACAATATTTAAGTAATCTGGCAGGCTTTCTAGAAATAATCCTAGCTCGCAGGATTCTAATTTGCTCCACCAGAGCAGATCACTCACCATCCCTTAAAAATCCTTTATTCTGGGACTATGGTTTGACTGTAGAGTATCACATCACAGAGCATAAGCAAGACAGACACAGCCTGGCCCTCACTGAATTTCCATTCCAGAAGCACTGATGGTTTTAAGGACTGTTACAAATGGATGTTTCTAAGTATGAAGACTAAATATAACGGCGAGAAAAAGTGGAATGAAAAAATAAAGCTTTGGATGATGGCCAGTCAGGAGAGCTTTCTTATTGACTCTGAAACAAGTACAGCTTTCTCTAGCTGTAATATGAAGTTCACAGATCTCGACATACAAATGCATGCAGAATCTAATTTTAATAAATATAAATGGCAAACAAGGTTGCTTGCTTGTATCTGAATTATGTTCAAATAGGGGACATATGTTCAAATATGTTCAAATAGGGAACATAGGAACCAACCATCACAGTGGGAAAATTCATGTATACATATGAGAATGACTCCCCATATTTGCTAACAAACTCCAGCTCAACACATAGCCCATTTGATGTCTTTTCTGACACCTCCAAATTTTCTAATTCCTCCTCTCCATAACTCACACCTCAATGAGGAAAATACCAGTAGAGGTAAGAGAATAACCCACACACATCACATCAACTTATGCCACAATGAATCCTACAACTGTACCATTTAAGTGCAGACTGATACTTTCATGAATTAGCATGTTGAAGCTTCTACTACATCGAAATAATCAGCCAATAAAATTTGTTGTAATTCAATTAGCAAAATACTATCAAAGCCCATCTAAAAGGACTGAGAACAGTCTCTTCATATATATAACCTGGCTCTAATTTTAATAGTAAGACTAGTAAAAAAAACAGTAAAAAATTGTTTTGAATACCATCTATTTTTTAATATTTAGTTATTGCATTCCAAAGACTACCATAGTAATATTTATACACATATCATAAAACAAGGAGAAATATTAAAATAAGTCAATAATATAAAGTTCCACTACTTTTTTGTAGCCCATCTTGGATTTTTCTCTAGGTACATACATTCCACATTAGAGGTGGCTGATCTAGAGCAGGTATCAGCAGACTACAGCCCGTGACACCTATCTGTGCAAATACAGTTTTATCAGAACATAGCAATACTCATTCATACATTGTCTAGGTCTGCTTTCAAGCTACCACAGTGGAATTGTATAATTGCAACAGCAACTGTCTGACTCATAAAGTCTAAAATATTTACTATCTGGTCCTTGACAAAAAAAAAGTTTTCCAAATCCTCCACTAGAGTCTCAATAATGACAAATGTCCTTCCAGCCCCTTAATTAAGCAAGAAAAGTAGATGATTTGGGTCTACCCCACTAATTCAGTCTTTACTGATGAACTGAAAATTCTCCAACTAAGGAATTAGTAAATAATTTTTCTAAAAGGTTTGACAAATTTCTCTTGCTACATATTTCAGGTAACTGTATTTAGTGGCTTATTTAAATATAGTTTCCCTTTGCTGACAGGTTAATTAAACGTGGTGGGTTAGTTGGTGGATGAGACCAAATTAAACATGGTGGATTAGCTGAAAAGTTTAGCACTGACCCTATACATACCTATCAATGCTATAAAAATCATTATGGCATAATAAAGTAAGTCCAAAAAAAACGCCTCAAGCTGCCCTACAGTGTCTTCACTCCCGTAGGCCAGATGTTCTCCAAGGATTTACCCTTGGGGACCCTGAGATTCATTCAGGAGGTTCACAGGTTCAAAATCGTTTTCATAACAACTCTAAAACAAACTTATCCTTTCACTGTGTTGCCCTTTGCATGGAAGGTGCAAAAGCAATGGTGGGGAAAACTGCTAGCACCTGAGCACAAGCCAAGGCGGGAGTCTTCACTGGCACAAGCTCCTAGTTTTTTAAACAAACATCAATTTCATTTTAGAATGTCCTCAGTGAAGCAGTAAACATTACTCATTTTATTAAATTTTAGCTCTTGAGTACAAACATTTTAATATCCTGTGTAACAGAATGAGAAGTAAGTTCAAAATGGGAAGTATGTTCCTCTATATATCAAAGGGATCACTGTCTCAATGTAAAGTGTTTGTGTGATAGTTGCATTTTTAAGCAGAACCAGCTCCTTTTTTTCAGTGGACTATCACAAAAAAATGACAACGTATAGTTATTTAGATTTGGGATTTGGTAGACATTCCCTCTAAAATCTAAGAAGTAATCTGGTCACTTCAAGATATCACTTCACCTGATAATATGTTTGTTTTTTTTTTTCCAATAGTAAAATTGTATCTTTCAAGCAAAAATTTAAATTTTGGAAAACTTTTGTCTGCTACTATGAGCTCAACACCTCTGAAGTACTTCAAAAAACTTTTATAATATCAGTGATGATAGTTATGAAATGTCTTTCTTTTTTCTTTTGCTATTATACAAGAGGAAGATACTTGAAAGCTATGTATAACTCAATGAACCAATATTTTCTAAGTTACCAATGTACAATGCTACAAAATTATGTATGGATAAGACCCAGTCAAAGGAGAAGATAGACCAAACAGACTTTAATGTAACAAAATACAAAAAAGTTCATTGATATGGTTCTGATTCTACATTGCAACTTATCTTTAAGAAACCACCACTTGTTGAGTTTTGGTGAAGTACCAAGGAAGAATAGCCACAATTATGTGAAAAGGCTATTGAAAATACTTCCTAACTACACATCTTTAAGGCTGGATTTTCTTTTCATACTTCAGTCAAAACAACATATCACAATTTTGTGAATGCAGAAGTAGATATGAGCATCCACTTGTCTTCTATTAAGTCAAACATTAAAAAGATCTGCAAAAAGATAAGCCAATGCCACTCTTCTTGCTGATTTATTTTTGTTTTGGAAAATATATTTACTTTTTCATAAAAACAGTACCTATGTTAGTACGTAATGGTTTGCTTTATTAGTGTCACTTTTTAATTAATAAATATTTCAAATTTTAGTTTTAATTTATAATATTGTAAATACCAATGTTTTGACCCACAAAAACCAAAGATCGATCATTTTTAAGATTGTAAAGGGACCAAAAACGCTGAGACCAAACACTGGAGGACTGTAAACTTCTATCTTATTCCACGTGCAATTTTCTTGTTTTATTGGAAAATACTTACAAAGTAAAATATTTTCCCTTTTTCTTTCTCAGTTCACTTTTTTATGAGCTACACAGGAAACATCTTGTCTAAATTTGAAAGTATAAAGTTGCCTCACTTATAGGAAGAAGGAGAACTGCTCTAAGCAGGAAAAAAAAAAAATTGCCTGAGAACTGGAGGCTTTAGGCCCATCAGCCACAACTACAGACACAGCTGAGCCTGCTTCACCATCTTCCGTAGTCCCAGGCTGTGCAAAGAGGAGGTATATCCAGCTAGTATACTTTTTCCCTGGCCGATTCAGTTGGCTAGAGCTCTTCAGGGACCACACTGCAATTCTGGATTTCCTGCCAGGTAGGTGGAAAAATAATTCAAAACAGTATTCTGGGGGGGGGAGGGGGGGGCAAGATGCTAGTGATGAGATGACATATGGGCAACAACAATCCTCTGTGACACTTCAGTTGTCCAAATGGCACAAATGATATAGCTGGAATCCCAGATTTCTCTCCCAATTCCAATCAGAGAGAAAAGATTTATTGGGTTGGAGTTTATTAAGTAGGGCTGACCCCTGCCTACCTGCTACTAATTTATTAAGTAGGGCTGGAGTTTATTAAGTAGGGCTGACCCCTGCTACCCCTGCTACTAATAAGTAGCAGCACATCCAGAATTGAAGAGATTGGGATAGGCCAAGATAAATTACCAGACACTCTGGAATAGGGCCGGGCTCGACTGTTAGAGAGCAAAATAAATTTGCCAGGTCTGCTGTGCTAAGAGACATGGGGAAAAATGAAGCTTTTCTCTGAGGTCTGAATCTCACAAGCCATAGCCCTAAATATATTCAAGTCAAGATCTTAAACCTAAAAGTTTCTCAAATAACTTGTAACAGGTTTCATGACTTTATTATCACTATCACATGGCAGATACTGGCAAACTGATTTTCACCAACATACACATATACACCCTACCAATGCCCAATTCATAAACTCTGAACTAAAAGTCATATCTCAGAATTTCAGTATTAAAGTTCATCCTTGAAAAAATGTTCTAAATGGCAATTAGGTAAAATAATACTACATTTTATAGACAGGGTAGAATAGACAGACTTTTGTAGGCTGACATAAGAACCTAAGAATTATACTGTTTTTATGGTAAAATTCAGCACATTTTCTAACTACGAACTCTGGATTTTGGATACACACATGCACTGTGGACCTCCACAAGTCATCCACAGTGATAAACATATTTGAAACTATAACTTGAAAGGCAAAAATCTAGAGATTCTTAGATTGTACTGATTCCTCTTATAAAACAATTCTTTGGAGATAATGTACAGCCCTAAGTGCCAACAGAGAACTGCAGGAAAGAGAAGAGAGGGGAGAGGGGAGAGGGGAGAGGGGAGAGGGGAGGGGGAGAGGAGAAGAGAAGAGAGGAGAGGAGAGGAGAGGAGAGGAGAGGAGAGGAGAGGAGAGGAGAGGAGAAGGAAAAGAAAAAAGAAAAGAAAAGAAAAAAGAGAAAAGAGAAGGGAAGGGAAGGGAGGGGAGGGAAGGGGAGGGGAGGGAAGGGGAGGGAAGGGGAGGGGAGGGGAGGGAGGAAGGGAGGGAGGAAGGGAGGGAGGGGAGGGAGGAAGGGAGGGAGGAAGGGAGGGAGGAAAGGAGGAAAGAAGGAAGGAAGCAGCTTACCTGTGGTCAAGATGACTAAAATCTTGTAAATTCAATTCCCTGGTGTCTTGGGTAAGATAAATTGTATCCACATCCTATTTGAAATATAATTCAGTCATGTCATCAGTCCATGCAGATGACCAGGAAAGCAAGAGAGACAGTGAGAATTAGACAATGACAATGGCAGGTTTTTATGTAATCTGAGAAGTGAAGATTTTAAGTGAAAAATAAATGAAGGGAAAAAAAGAAAAACAAGCCAGCCAAACATTAGAATATTCTCCAGGAGTGTGTGTGCTCATGCACATGTACACAGACATTCTTACCCATTGTACTTCTTCCCTGTATGAAAATCCAAGCCAGTCACAAACACAGGCATACATCTGAGAAAATCCACCTGAAACATACAACAAAAACACTGACAGGTCTTTGGCAAAATGATGTTTAAATTAAAATTTTAAAGCTTAAATATGGCCGATGTTGACAATGCTGATTATCCTTTTCCTTTTTAGGGGGGAAAACAGCAAAGATTCTCCTCCCTGTTCTATAGTAAGTACATAGCAGGATGCAATACAGCTTAAATATAGGACTTTTGTCCACCAATCTAAAGTCTGTGCGCTGCTAATTACACCTTGAAACTAATTGCACCTTTACAGTAGCACACTAGGAATAGACTTAACTTCCTGGCAGGGGGATATCCATCCAGCTATTCACATTTCAGTTTTAAAATGCATGCTCACCACAGGGGCCCTGCTCAGCCACGGTCTGGCTGTCCCACAGCGCCTGGAGACTAGCCAGGCGCTCAGATGGCTCCATGGAGACTTTTTTCATGATTCTCCTGTAAGATCAACAACAACAACACATTTCACAAACCACACTTTTTGACTGCACATAGAAATAAATTTTGTCACATTCCTTTTTCTTCAACAAAGATGAGGGTCACTTCAATTTCAGTTTTTCTTCAATTTTTCAATTTTCAATTTTTTTGAGCACTAGAGAGCTAGAAATCTAGAAAACATAATAAATCCCTATAACTTTCCTTTGTAGATGAAAGGTATTTAGCAATGCAGTCTCCATGTTATAGTTTTATAATGTTAGATTTTGTTAGAATAGTTTGAAAAGTTGCTCCACTTAATGAATTATTAGATTACGTATATACCAAATATAAATTACTAATTTTCAATTAATTAAAGTAAAAATCTCTTCTGTCCTTCTATAGTGCCTTGCACACATGTCCATCAAGAAACTGATCAAGTCATACTGGAATAGTTGTTCCTTTTGCTACCTCTTCCCCTGGGCCATGATTCTTCTGGGGCAGAGAACATATGCAGCTCCTCCCAACCCCCCATCCTCCTCCTCAGAACCTAACAAAGTTCATGCCCACACATGCAGAGACAAGACAGAGTAGTGGTTAAAAGTACAGCCAACCATCCCAAAGTTTCCTTTTTCAGGAACTGACACATTTCTGAATTTGTCAGTTTCTGAGATGTTATCCCATAGGGTTATTGTGAGAAAAAATGATAATAGTACCTATCAAGTTATTAGAATAACCCCCCCAGGGCTGAGCCTGTAATTCCAGCACTTTGGGAGGCCAAGGCAGGCGATTACTTGAGCCCAGGAATTCAAGGCCAGCCTGGGCAATGTGACGAAACACCATCTATACAAAAATTAGCCAGGTGTGGTAGTATGTGCCTATAGTCCCAGCCACTCAGGAGGCTGAGGATTGCTTGAGCATGGGAGGTAGAGGCTGCAGTTAGATTGCACCACTGCACTCCAACCTAGGTGACAGAGGGAGACTCTCCAAAAAAAAAAAAAAAAAGAAGAATCCCTGGTGTGTGGTAATGTCAATATATGTTAACTGATACTGTCATTAGTTATCACAGAGTAATCATTTAATGAATAGTTTATGAATTCATTAATTCACTCAAAAAATTTTTATGAAAGATCTACAGAGTGCCAAGACCCAAAACCAGGTACCAGGCATACAACCATGATTAAACACAGATGCTGCCCCTGCCCTCGCAAAGCTAGCAGTCTACTGTGAGAAACAGACGAATAACCAGGCACTAGTGGAAGAGAACTAACACAAGGAAAGTTCAGGGCGAAAGCGAGGGCAAAGAAGGGGCACTTAGCTTATTCCCTGGTGAGGAGAAGAGGTGGGACGTAGGGAGTTGGAAATGCTCTTTGGTATAAAATATATCTCTGCTAAGACCCACAGGAGGGCAAAAAGAGACAATCAGGTGAAGCATGGTGAGAGGAGGTGTGAGCTAGGGGCCAGGAAAGTGTTTCAGATAAAGGAACAGCACACCCCCAAAGATGAGAAAGCCCATGCTTACCAGAAATTCAATCTAGTTCAAAATAGTTGGCAAATGATGTGTGATAAAGAAAGGAGTAACAGAAGAATCTGGGGAGCAAGGCAAAATCCCAGGCCATGGTGCGCCTCACAGGTCAAATAAAAGGATTTTGATTTTATTCTCAGGGCAATGAGGAGCCATGGCAGACTGTAAACAGATGAGTACGTGATGATTAGATGGGCACTGTGAACAAATATCTGCCTGTGTAGGTATTTGCTCTCAATTTTCTACAAAATTGAGAAATAGAAAACATAGCTTGAAAAATAAAAAAGAACTTTCCAGGACTGTTAAGAGTCCAGCTGAGAGTGAAGATCATGGATTCTTGGTGGTTCAGGGCTAAATAGCTGTGGGATTTCCTCCTGCAGCCCTCAGCAGCCAAAATGTATATGGAGAGGTGGGCAGCTGGCTTGCTGCAGGATGCAGGATTTCCAGGTGGGTGTGTCAGAAAAACAGTGTGGACAGAAGGAGCAGAGGATACTGACAAGGCCTAGGTGAAGTCATGGATGTTGTGGGCTGAGCAGTTAAGAATGGACAGGAAGGCAGGATGGGGGTGGCAGAAGAAGAGAAAGCCAAGCCACCCCCAGTCTGGAGGCCTTGAAAAAGTCCAAATACTGGTACTTCCAGGGGAGAGGAAGTGAAAGGCTGTAGTCAGAGGGGGAGGGCTGTTTTTTCACCATGGAATAAGCTGTTCCAGGAGATGACAAGGTCATGTGGCCACAAAAGCAAGTGGAAGTAGGGTAGAGGTGAAGAGGTCATGAGCTGTGAGGAAGGGTGTCAGGGTGTCAGTCACCCAGTACCATGACAGGACGTGGGTGAGAGGTGGTGAAATAAATATATTAACTTGTATTGAATATAGTTTCATCTTTAATGATTTCAAGGCACTCTGCTACATACAATGCTCTCAGTCATTCTTATGAATTTCCATCACCTTGCAGAGACTGGAAGAAAATGTTCCCAGTTATTTACATTTTCTGATTGAATGGATGTATTCCAGATAAAATATGCTAGGGCCTGGGAGGTTGCCTGGTTGGGTTGTTCTACTCCTAGAGAAAACCTCAAATACATATCAAATCATTTAAATACATTCTGTTGGCATGGAAAATATTCCTCCTACTTCTTTGTAAGTTTTATGACTAAGACATAATCAGGTTCCGACATACCTCATTTTATTGTATTATACTCACAGGTATTGCATTTTTTGCCAATTGAAGCTTTGTGGCAACCTTGCATTAAGCAAATCTATCAGTGCCATTTTTCCAACAGCATGTGCTCACTTCCTGTCTCTGTGCCACATTCTGGTAATTCTCACAATATCTCAAACTTCCTCATTATTATAATATCTGTTTTGGTGACGTGATCAGTGATCTTTGATGTTACTATTGTAACTATTTTGGGGGACCATGAATCACACCCATATAAGACAGCAAACTTAGCTACTTAAAAGTGTGTGTGATCTCACTGCTCCACTGACAACCATTCCTCTCTGTCTCTCCCTTTCACCAAGCCCATTACTTGAGACACAACAATATTGAAATTAGGCCAATTAATAACCCTGCAATGGCCTCTAAGTGTTCAAGTAAAAGGAATAGTCGCACATCTCTCATTTTAAATCAAAAGCTAGAAACAAGCTTAGTGAGAAAGGCACATGGAAAGCCAAGACAGGCTAAAAATTAGGCCTTTTGCAACAAAAAAATTAGCAAAATTGCAAATGCAAAGGAAAAGTTATTGAAGGAAGTTAAAAGCGCTACTTCCATGAACATGTGAATGATGAGAAAGTGAAACAACTTTATCCCTGAGATGCAGAAAGTTTTAGTGGTCTGGAATGAAACATTCCCTATGCCAAAGCCTAATCCAGAACAAGGCTTTAACTCTCTTCAATTCTATCAAGGCTGAGAGAGGGGAGGAAGCTGAAGTTGGAAGCTACCAAACGTTGGTTCATGAGGTTTAAGGAAAGTTGTCTCCATAACGTAAAAGTACAAGATGAAGGAGCAAGTGCTGATGAAGAAGCTGAAGCAAGTTATCCAGAAGATATAGTTAAGATCATTGATGAAGATGGCTACACTAAACAACTGATTTTCAATGTAGATGAAAGAGCCTCCTACTGGAAGAAGATGTCATCTAGCACTTTCTTAGCTAGGGAGAAGTCAATGGCAGGCTTCAAAGCTTCAAAGGACAGGCTGCCTCTCTTGTTAGTGGCTAATGCAGCTGGTGACTCTAAGTTGAGGCCAATCAGTGCTGATGTTCCATTCCAAAAACCCAAGGCCCTTAAGAATGATGCTAAATCTCCCTGCTTGCACTCCACAATAGAACAAGAAAGCCTGGGTGATAGCAGATCTATTTACAGAATGGTTTACTGAATATTTTAAGCCCACTGTTGAGACCTACTGCTCAGAAAAAGAGATTCCTGTCAAAATGTTACTGCTCATTAACAATGCACCTGGCCACACAAGAGTTCTGATGGAGAAGTACAAAAAAATCCATGTTGTTTTCATGCCTACTAATTCAATATCCATTCTGCAGCCCATGGATCCAGGAATAGGTTTGACTTTCAAGTCTTATTAAGAAATATATTTTGTGTCTGTAATCCCAGCCGAGGCGTGTGGATCACGAGGTCAGGAGATCGAGACCATCCCGGCTAACATGGTGAAACCCCATCTCTACTAAAAATACAAAAAAAAAATTAGCCGGACCTGGTGGCGGGCACCTGTAGTCCCAGTTACTCGGAAGGCTGAGACAGGAGAATGGCATGAACCTGGGAGGCGGAGCTTGCAGTGAGCCGAGATCACGCCACTGCACTCCAGCCTGGGTAACTGAGCAAGACAACAACTCAAAAAAAAAAAAAAAAGAAATATATTTTGTAAGGCAATATAAGCAGCCATAGATAGTGATTCCTCTGATGCATCTGGGCAAAGTAAATTGAAAACCTTCAGAAAAAAATCACCATCATAGATGCCATTGAGAACATTCATGACTCACGGGAAGAGGTCAAAATATCAACATCAACAGGAGTTCCAAAAAAGTTGATTCCAAACCTCATGGATGACCTTGAAGGGTATAAGAGTTTAGTGGAGGAAGTAACTGCAGATATGGTGAAAACAGCAATAGAATTAGAATTAAAAGTGGAGCCTGAAAATGTGAATGAATTGTTGTAATCCACGAAAAAACTTTTAACAAATGAGAAGTTGCTTCTTATGGATGAGCAAAGAAAGAAGTTTCTTGAGATGGAATCTACTTCTGATAAAGATACTGTGAACATGCTGGTCATCAGAGAAATGCAAGGCAAAACCACAATGAGATACCATCTCACGCCAGTTAGAATGGCAATCATTAAAAAGTCAGGGAACAACAGATGCTGGAGAGGATGTGGAGAAATAGGAACACTTTTACACTGTTGGTGGGAGTGTAAAGTAGTTCAACCATTGTGGAAGACAGTGTGGCGATTCCTCAAGGATCTAGAACTAGAATTACCATTTGACCCAGCAATCCCATTACTGGGTATATACCCAAAGGATTATAAATCCTGCTACTATAAAGACACATGCACATGTATGTTTATTGCAGCACTATTCACAATAGCAAAGACTTGGAACCATACCAGATGTCCATCAATGATAGACTGGATTAAGAAAATGTAGTGCATATACTCCATGGAATACTATGCTGCCATAAAAAAGGATGAATTCATGTCCTTTGCAGGGACATGGATGAGGCTGGAAACCATCATTCTCAGCAAACTATCACAAGGACAGAAAACCAAACACCGCATCTTCTCACTCAAAGGTGGGAATTGAACAATGAGATCACTTGGACACAGGGCAGGGAACATCACAAACCGGGGCCTGTCGGGCGGTGGGGGCTGGGGGAGGGATAGTATTAGGAGAAATACCTAATGTAAATGATGAGTTGATGGGTGTAGCAAACCAGCATGGCACATGTATACCTTTGTATCAAACCTGCATGTTGTGCACATGTACCCTAGAACTTAAAATATAATTTAAAAAAAAAAGACACTGTGAACCTGGTTGAAATGACAATAAAAGATTGTTTTTCTTTTTTTTTTAATGTCCCTTGAGTCATAACAAATGATTTAGAATATTTCGTAAACTTACCTGATAAAGCAGTGGGAGGGCTGAAGACAATTGACTCCAATTTTAAAACAAGTTCTACTGTGAGTAAAATGCTATCAAACAGCATTGCATGCCACAGAGAAATCACTCATGAAAGAAAGGGTCAATTGATGTGGTAAACCTCACTGTTGTCTTATTTTAAGAAATTGTAAGTCCAGGCGCAGTGGCTCATGCCTGTAATCCCAGCACTTTGGAAGGCTGAGGCAGGCGGATCACCTGAGGTCGGGAGTTCGAGAGCAGCCTGACCAACATGGAGAAACCCCATCTCTACTAAAAACACAAAATTATTCGGGCGTGGTGGTGCATGCCTGTAATCCCAGCTACTCCGGAGGCTGAGGCCAGAGAATGGCTTGAACCCAGGAGGCAGAGGTTGCAGTGAGCCGAGATCGTGCCATTGCACTCTAGCCTGAGCAACAAGAGCAAAACTCCATCTCAAAAAAAAAAAAGAAATTGCCATAGCCACCCCAACTCTTAGCAACCACCACCCTGATAGTCACAGCAGCCATCAGCTTCCACACAAGCAAAACCTTCTCCAGCAAAAACATTACAATTCACTGAAGGCTCAGGTGACTGTTAGCATTTTTTAGCAACAAAGTATTTTTAAGGTATATATATTCTTCTAGACATAATGCTATTGCATACTTTAGTAAACGTAACTTTTATATGCACTGAGAAACCAAAAAGTTCTTGACTCACTTTATTGCAATGGTCTGGAACCAAACCCATAGTACCTCCAAGGTATGCCTGTTTACCTAATACATGTCAGATGTCATTAATTTCTTCAAATTCCGTGTAAATGCACAAGATCTACAAGTGCAGCATGATTTTTGTCTATTTTACCCAAAGGAACCTGTAATTAAGAACCATTATTTTAATACTTCGGGGTAACCATGTTTGAGAAGACATTATAATTAAAATGATATTACAGAATCTGGCAATTTGGAATGGTTCATCTTGGTTCAAAACCATCATCTGGCATTTTAATGGCATTATATTCTGTCTACATCAAGACAATGAAGCAGATATTATGCAAAGAAACAGCAAGGCTGTCAGAAGTAGGCACAGCCATTATTCAACTCAATTAGGTAAACCTTGGACACAGAAAGCTGGACTTCTGTCTGACCTCATCTAGGATCACATTTCTCTTTTAAAATTCTTGCTTTGTTTCCATAAAACTGCAGGCCATGCTCTTTTGATGATACATAGGGGGTTCAGCTACTCAAACACAGGAAGAAAATATGGCAAAAATCTTTGACCGGAAGCTGGTGGGATTAAAAACAGGAAGCTGACAGTCTACAACTACAGAAAGAAATAAATTAATCTTGATGGTAGATTTGGAAACCAGAGCCTCAGTTTTACTCGAAAAACAAAAGTGGACATTCACACTCAGGGTTAAGGGGAAATCAATCAGAGAGTAAAGGAGGCAGCAGCTAGGGGAGACATCTGTGCGAACCAACCTGCAGACGTGTCCAGCGGGGCCTTTTCAAGTAGCTCCGCTTCTTTACAGTTCTCATTTTTCTTTTTCAACTGAGATTTCAGGAGCTAAAGTAGTCTCATGAAACAAGTTCATTCATTTCCATAAGAGATAAAGTTGTAAAAACTAAATTTCCAGAAGGTAGGAACTGTTTCTTATCTATGCTAACACTGTGCACAGAAATAATAAGTGAGAGGAGAATCCACTCTACAGAAGTTGTTTTCCGCCTGTAGTGAAATGAGAGCAAGGAGCCCCATCAGTGTATTTGTTACCGGGCACCAGCTCACACACACATACACACACACACACACATACACACACACACTGTTAAATAGACAGAAAGACAGAGGATTTGTTGTCCAATAAGTACCATAAAAGGTAAACCAAAATCCTAAAACAAAACATAAGCAAGACATGTCTCTCACATGCAGGCAGCACTAGCGTTGATTCAGCATTTGCATTATATGCATTTAAATTGCACAAGACTCAGAAAATAGTTCTATGTGGCAGCAAGAAACAGCAAACTAGATGACAAACACACCAACTCTTTGTCCATGCAAATCTCATGATAAACTATTGACACAAAAAAATTATAGATTATTTTAATGTACTCACACTAATTGATTTCTTTAAAATTCAATTCCAATGCTCAGCCTATGCAACATGGCAGCTGTCTCCAGAATAGCACATGCTTTAATGCTGCAAGCCACACCACAACAAAAGGCTACCTACTGCTTTGCAAAGTGAAGAGACTACCAAAACACAGCAACCACCTTTCTCTTGTTTATATATAAACTCCTATTTCATCAGCTTTCTCCATAATAACCTCACATTTTCATACCTCATACCTGTATTAACAATATCATTTAATACTAAAAAAAAAAAATCTAGCTTTGTTTTGGAGACCAGCCAAGGTTCTTGATAGTAGAAAAGCTGAAGGCCGTAACACAGAATGACTTCCTGAAGAGAACTGCCATCACAGACAACCCTGAGAAAACAGATGACAACACTGAAGCTCTAAACCCTTCCCTAGTTCACCCCATAGGGTTGTCACTGTCTGAGAGGTGAGGCCTCCAAGGACAGTCTATAGCAAAGATTGGAATGTTAACAAAACACACGATAACAGTGATTTGAGTTGGGGTGATTTTTAAATTTAACTTAAATTTTCTTCTTTACAGATGTTCTCTATATTTTGAATTAAACTTTCCATATTTAATGAGGAGAAAATGTCATTTTAGAAGGGAAGGAGAGAGGGAGAGAGAAATATCCTAACATATATTTGGAGACAGGAGATGGGAAGAAAATATGACATGTAAATACTACAAATTTTAATTTAAATCCTTCATTTTTTTCCAACCTGCATTCTCTTAAGAGCTGATTACATATACATACACACACACACACATAGACACACACACACACACACACACACACACACACACATATATATATATATATATGTTTGTTTGTTTGTTTGTTTTGAGATGTGGTCTTACTCTGTCACCCAGGCTGGAGTGTAGTGGTGTGAGCATAGCTCACTGCAAGTTCAAACTCCTGGGCTCAAGTGATCCTCCCATTAGTTGGGAATACAAGCATATACCACCACACCCAGCTAATTTTTAAAATTTCTTAGTAGAAATGAGGTCTCACTATGTTGCCCAGGCTGTATATTTTCATATATTTGATTTGAATGATGGATGTTATTTTCAGAATTGTATATGGGTAAAATCAGAAATTCAGATCTTTGGAGGTATAGGTTCATTTATATAGAGTCATACGTAGAGTATTCAAGAACTGATTACCCAAACTGAGAATTTTCCAGGATCTAACTCCTCCTGATTCACCTGGTTCCTAATACCTCCTCATGAGACCCTTTTCTGTTCATCAGTCACCACCAGAGGTACCCTAAGCAAGGAAGGAGATGAGGACCCCCAAGACAGGCTCAGAAAATAAATTTGATGGGACAAATGAGTCATACAAGGTCTAAGGATTCTAAATATAGTTTCATATTCTCCAATTTATCATGAGTGGAATATATGACATTACTGGAAACATATTTTATTTTGCATGTTCTATTGTGCATTATTTATATAAACAAATATTCCCCTGACTGATAGCTTTGACTTAAGGCATACTGGGAATGTAGGAGAAAAGATACGGTTACCAACTTCTCCACCCTCTCTAGTCACACAACCAATACCAATAAAATTGTACGTTTCCCCTCCCAAAATCATATAATGCAATCTAAGGAACTTCAAGAGTAAAGGCACAACATAGAAACCACAAAATATTAGGCTTATCGAGACAAGCTAACTGTGTGTGTTGGGTAGAAAAGAGGAATGCAAGTCAAATACATTTAGGTAATTTAACTCTCTGCCAAGGCATTTTCTAAATTATAATCTGCACCTTCTCTCCAATTGGTCTCTTCATGTGAATTGCCTTTCCTTTCACTACTCTCTCCTCTGAATTTTCTCCATCCGTTTGCAGTAAATCTCCTCTGCAAAGCCAGCCTGTGCTCATTCATCTCCCACTTACACCCAATCATCTCCTGTCTCATCTGCTTCAGGTTACCTCAGCTAATGAGTTCATGGTTTGAAGGCAGGGCCACTGTCTTCTGACTTCTCTATGCCCCATGGTACATCACCCAACAAGGTACTGGAAATGGATTAAGTGTGAAGTGTATGTGCTCATCCAAAACCTCAGTCAGTACCTACTATGTGCCAAGAACTAGGGATTTAAGATTAATAAAAACATGGTCTTTGTTTAAGCAGCTCCCAGCCTAGAAGGAAAGACAGGTATGTTTTGTACTTTGCCTCTCACTTTCTCAAGGATATTGCTGATTTATTTATTAGGGCAGTCTCCAGCAACAAATCTCTCTTTCTACTGATCACTCCCCTCATTACAGCCATATGGTTTAAGCATATGCTTTTATCTCCCATTTTAAACACAAACAGAAATCCCCCGTAATCCCTCAGAGTGCGCTAGCTACATCCAATTTGTCAGTTCCCCTTAATAGCTGATCTTCTCTATGAAGTTGTCCACATATGCCACATCCATTTTCTCACTTCTGAGTTCATCCCTCAACCACAGCAGTCTGCCCTCCCAACCAGACCCCTAGACCTGCTCTCATCAAGGTGCCTATGTTATCCACGTCACCAACACTGGACACCTCTCTGCCTGCAGCTTATTCAGCCCCAGCATCATTCTGCAGAGTCAGCACTCCTTCCCAGGCCCTGGTTTTTCACTGGTTTTCCTCCTACCTTGACAGCCAGTCCTTACCCAACTCCATTTGTGGCTCTTCCTAGTTTACCTGACCTCTAAGTGTTGAGCTCATTCCAAGTATGCCTCCTCTACACATCTTTCTCCAGGTGATGTTATCAACAGCCATGCAGTGAAGACCATCTTGTGCTCAATGGCACTCACCTTTGCTCCAACTCCAGACCTCTCCTCCAAGCCCCAGCCTCACAAATCTGCCTACCTGATAGCCTCACCTAGTGGAGCTTGGAGGAGAGGTCTATGGAGGTCTTGTAGGTCCTAGACAAATAGATCTCAAATTCCACATGCCTAAAACAGAATGGCTACAGATCCCACCCCCCAGAAAATACTTGTCCCCCACCTACCCCAGGCCTTCTCTGTCTTGCTGTCATATTGGTCACCAAGTTATTAAAACCGGACTCTGAGGAGCCATCCTTGTTTTTCTTCTCTTTCTTTCCTCACTGCCCTTACCCACACTTACCTAATCCATCAGCAACTCCTGCATCCAAAATAAAGCTTACATCTACCCTCTCTCTTAATACCTAATGCTGCTACCTTTCTCCTGACCACAGTCATCTCTTGCCTAGATTACTACAAGTGTCCAAATTAGCTTTCTACTTCTATTCTTGCTCTGCCACCAGTCCATTCTCTTTAGCAGACAAAAAAAAAAAAAGATTTTCATAAACTATCTAAAGATTTATCTCCCACCCCTAAAATGTTACAGTGGCTTCCCAGGAAAATACTACTAAATCCCAACCTCTTTCCCACGAGGCTCTACATCAACTACATCTACATCACCAGGGCTGGTTCCAGCCCCCTCTTGAATCATTCCTCATCCCTTCCCATCTTTGTTCTTCATTATACCCCAGCCAAAGTGGATATCTTTCAGTTTCTCAGAGATACCAAGCCCTTTCTAGGCAAGAGAAATAGCATGAACAGAAGCCCTGGGAAGATGATATTCTTTGCCCTACTCTTATAGGGCAGGCGCCTTCTCTTCCCCTAGGTCTGTTGAAGTTATCATGGCCACAGGGAGGCCTTTGGAGACAGAAGTTTATTCTTTATACGAGTCCCATCTATTTCTCTCACAGCACTTACTCAAAGGTACTGTTACTTGATTTATGTATTTCCCTCTTTGGGGGGTTTCTTTCCCCAAGTTAAAATGTAAGTTCCACGTGGGCAGGGACCATGTTCACTGCTGGACCTCAACACTTAGCACTATGCCTAGCATATAGTAGAAAATCAATAAATAGTCATGGAATATATAAGTGTATGAACAAGCACTTACAACACAGTATGATGTGTACTAGTGCAGGAAGTGATCCAAAGTTCTTTGGAAACATGAATAAAGACTCTCTTTACAGATGAGAAGATACCTGAGTTAAATCTTTTGGAATTTGTCAGGATTAGAGCTATTATAATGGTGCTGAAAATATGAGAGAGCCTGATTGTGTTCAGGAACAGGAAAACAGTGGTATTCTGTGTCAGGCTATACAATTTACATTTTATCAGGAAAGCCAGCCATTTGAGAGCTTAGGCAAAGAACAGATACTGTTTGAATTATGAAAAGATAACTCGGATGACAGTATGAAGGATCACTTGCAAGAGAAGAACTAGAAGCAGGGAGACTAACTAGAAAGATGCAAGGGAGAAAGTGACTATGGCAGTGGAAATGAAAACAAGGAGAAAGAACCAGACCACGAGATATTAAGATAATATTTTTAAAAGCTTAGCAACCAATTGAATATGACAGTAAGGACCAAGAGATGAGCACGGCTCAGCTTTTAACTTGTGAGACTATGTGAACAACAATGCCATTAATTGAGACAGAAATACAGAATATAAGCAATTTTTAGGGGGGAAAGTGAGGAGTCCAGTGTGGGACATACTGAGTGTGAGGTGCCTGGGGCTGTCCTTGTAGAGATGCCCTATTGGGCAGCTGGTAGGTGGGGACGAAGACCTGGGTACAGCAGAGGTCACAGATTTAGAAATCAACATATACATGGGAACTTTCTTCCTAGAAACAGAGGTGATTAATACTGGTTTAATAATTGCCCGAAGATTTTAACAAGAAGTTAAATGGAAGCTATAAGTGAAAATACTATTCTTACTCAATGTTCTCTGGGAAGAAAAAAATGGAAGAATCCAAACCAAAAATAAAAATGGTTAGTTTCTCTGAAAATCCTACAATACTAAACAAATAAGGCTGCCTTTTAAAGAAAATAGAGATTCTAGATATTGCTCTGAAGTGTCTTTAAAGTTCAGGGTATTATAAGCTCTTGCCAAGTAAGGCGGTGCTTAATAATTTTTTTATTTCATCAGTATTAATTTAGAAGGAAAGCGAGCACATTATAAAGAAACACATGTACAAAGTCGCATTACTGAAATGTAGTTTAAGGAAGATGGGTTGTAGCTATTGTTAACTCATGATTACCCCAGCTAGTTCTCTGGTGGCTTTAAGGATGATGTCGAACCCATTCCTAAGGTTTTGCTTCTTGGCAATTCCCATTGCCACCATGGATTCACTTCTTACCTCATCCAACCACCCACTGCTGCCCACACCTCTTCTCCAGAACCGCCTGTGTGTGTGATTAGAGACCAGGAAAGCTTGCCTTGAAGACACCTCATACCTGAAATTCTAGCCAAGCAGGAGTCAGAGGGCAGCCCCAGCTCACCCTCTCCACTCCACTGAAATGGAGGCCAGGGACACTTAGCTCCCCCGGCAACCAGCTACCCTGATAATCAGAGAACCACAAGACTTAAGCTTCAGGGAGGAAGGAGCCCAAGGTGAACAACCAGCAAGCACAGGGCAAGCCTTCCATTCTGGTGTGTCCACCTCCCACCATGGGGGGAAGGGAGAGAGCCCTGCGAAGGGCTGTGAAGGGAACTGAGCAGGCCTCTTAAGGCCAAAGAGCTTGAAAGGGAGTGTCTGTCCCCACTGAGCCACTTTTAGTCATCCATAAGGTTTAAATGACTAGAAGCCTAGGTTTTCCTGCTGCTTTGTCTCTCAACTTGCAGGCAAGGCATTGCAGGAGGAGCATGTTTTATGAAGGGCAACTGTTCCCAAAATCCCCCTCCCACCTCCACCACGCAAGGAACACAGCTAGCATGCTACACATGTCTATGTGGGGCCTCCAGCCCTTCCCTGTATACACTTCTGCCTGCTGGGAGAGCAATGGGAGGGAAATTTTCTGCCATCTGTGAATCCTGTTCTTCTATCAGGAGGGTATTTTGACTATACCTATTATTTTAGGGAGCTTTCAGACATAAGCATCTCTTTGCCTTTCACCTCAGTCAATCTAATTCCTCCATCCCAACAACCCACACACTCCCCAACTACAAACTCAGGTATCCAAGCCCATAATCCTGACTTTAAAAGCTTAACAAAAAATATGAGGGCATGGATGAACGAAATTTACTAATATGCCTAATGGGTATTTCAGAACACTAACAGGACAATGAAAAAAAGGGATTTTTACATTCAATTTTTTTAGGTTTCTTGTTCCTGAAAATAAAAAAGCAAAGAAAATAAAGCACTGTCTCTCTCTTCATCTGCATTATACTTGGTGCCACTATACAAAGCATGCAGCCCCTGGCACTCTGGTAATAAGCTGTGAGTAATATTCACACTCCTGTAAATCTGGAGTTATATTAAAAAGGTTACTGTTTTAGTCTTATGAGAAGTTAAAGGACTGCCAAATCCTTTCATCACTCAAGCTCTTTAAAGAATAAGACACAGCCCTGTAGAAATCCTCAGACCAAAACACAAGGGTTTTGATAAGGGTTTTGATATTTAATATTTAAGAGGAGAAGGAAGTCTGAGAGAGGAACTAAGTGAAGGGGTAAAAAGAAGGCATTGTTGTATTTGCCGTTTTGAGGAAGAACAGGTTCTTTGCTCTCCTCACCCTGCCCAGGGAAACTCACACTGGAGAGAGGCCAGGAAATATCTTCCTCAGGCAGGTGCCTATGTGAGCCAGCACCTCACTCACGTCCTCGGGTGACGCCATCTTCATGGAAATGCTGCACTTCTCAGTTTCCACAATCATCTGCAAGAACCGGTGGGACACTTCTTAAGAATGAGTCCAATTCCTTCCGTTTTTAATTATTTTAAATATTGTAAACTACATAGTCACACAGATATATACTAATACAATATTAGCTTTTTTTTTCTTTAACAAGGTTCGAGGGTAGCACATCTCACATACGTGCGTGAACACCCAACCATCACCCTCATGAACTACAAAAGGATCACAATATTAGCTTTTAAAGAAGCACTTTCTTAAAATAATGCACTTAATTTAAGACTCAAAGAAGTGTTTGGGTAGAGGGTGGAAGTATTGTCAGAAACGTCTAGAAACTGAAGTAAGTGTTTCCAAGGGCCAAGCTGGCAGATTCAAATAGACTCCCATATGATAGAGACTGAACTCCCACATTCAAACACGACTTCTCCTTTTACCAAGATTTTGTCCTGAGCTGCAGTCTTACAAAGTTTTTATATCCCTGCTATGTAGTGTAAGTATGGCTATATCTTTCTGTGGGTACCCATAGGCAATCTAAAAGCTACCTTTAAAATACACACACACACATTTTAAAGACAAGAAACCTTATCATATGCTTAAATAAAATGTTAAAACCTTTTGCTTGGGAGCAAAAGAGAAATGCTTTTAAAAGTTTCGATCGGCAGGGCACAGTGGCTCATGCCTGTAATCCCAGCACTTTGGGAGGCCAAGGCAGGCGGATCACAAGGTCAAGAGATTGAGACCATCCTGGCCAACATGGTGAAACCCTGTCTCTACTAAAAAGAAAAAAAAATACAAAAATACAAAAATTAGCTAGGTGTGGTAATGCATGCCTGTAATCCCATGTAATCCCAGCTACTCAGGAGGCTGAGGCACGAGATTCGCTTGAACCCAGGAGGCGGAGGTTGCAGGGAGCCGAGATCGTGCCACTGCACTCCAGCCTGATGACAGAGCAAGACTCCGTCTAAAAAAAAAAAAAAAAAAAAAAAAATGGTTTTGAGCTTTCTAAGAAGAGGGGATACTTGGAATATTAAGGTAACACGTTAATAAAATGTTTGGTGTTAGGTTTAGTGTTAGACTAAGACTCATTCCTATAATTAATTGCTGGAGATGTCCAAAACATGTCAAAAAATGTTGAGACTGAGACAGCTAGTCCTCTAAATAAGTACAAACTAACTTGTGAAAAGGAGGACAGGTCGGTCACAAAAGGGGCAAGAAGCTGAAGATGTACACATTACAAATAAGAAGAACTTCAACTACCTAAAAATAAAAGATGCCATTTTCTTTAATCTCAAAAACATTCATGTAAACTGGGTGTGGTGGTGCATGCCTATAACCCCGTAAACTCAGGAGGCTGAGGCAGGACGATTGCTTGAGCCTAGGAGTTCAAGACCAGCCCAGGCAACATAGCAAAACCCCATCTTCCTACCCCCCAAAAAATTCCCATAAAATGCAATCCTCTTAGATTATCACTTCTTCAAAATATCTGCACACGTTTACTTCCTGTTCTTACTTTATCTATACAAAAATATGATGGAGAACACTTTATAATGTGCAATGCAGTTTTTAGATTTTGCCTTACATTTTCCTGAAATTAGCCCAAACTGAAAATAATAATAATGTAAGTATTTCAACATATGTATGTCAAAATGAAAAGTAACGCAAGGTATGTCAAAATGATGAGATCAAAGAAAAGGATATAAATAATGTAAGTGTTTCAGATGTTACTTTTTCATAAATACCTCTAGAAGAATCTGTCAACGAGTATTTGATAAATACCACTTCTGTGCTAGTTAGTTGTACATAAAAAAATTAAAATTCCTATTTTTCAGTGCATTCCTCAAGAAATGAAAGGCAAAGCCTTTAAAATTCTCTAGGCAAAGGCTCCATTTGTCTTCTAAAAGCTGGTTCAAGAGGTATTCCTCTAGCAAAAGACATCAAGCATTATTGTACCTGGAGGCTAAACAACCCAGTAGTCTATAAGATGTTTTAAGTAAGACTAAATCTACTTAGTGAAATTAGGCTCATATTTTTCATATGCACATATCTGTGCATATGCATGTTTTTAAAAGCCAGACACTTTTGATGTGCCATTGTGTCTGTGCTCTGCACCCTACTCCCAACCTTCCCACCATGGGTAATTATATTTTTCACTACAGGGGTACTTTTACATTCTTCACATCTAGCACATCTATTCAGTTCACAGTTTGGGTGCGAGTAATTAGTAATTAGCTTATTCTAATTCCACTTAATCTTAACACCTAATCATCTTTAATTGCACAGGATTGAATAGAATGACAGAGAAGAAAAAATGGTGACAGGTGGAGGAAGAAATGAGGCCTTCAATTCAACCTTACAAGCAAGCACTCACACAACCCTGTGTAAGATGTCACCACCTTTGCATAATGTAAAGACTGCAACAAAGTGATGGAGGTGAAACCAACACAATAAGTCACCTCATCAAAAAAGAAAAAAAGAGCTTCCTATCAAATACTCTTTTCCCTCCCACTTCAGCTGGGGAGGAACAGAATGTTTGAAACACATTTTCTTTAGACACCTAGCAGGATATAACCCATGATATCTAATATACATTTAAAATAATAGAGATATAAGCCATAGTAACTTATGTATGATTCAAATTTCCCACCCCACTCCACCGCCTTTTTTTAAGGTCGAACAACCTGACTAAACTTCAAGGGCAGCACGTTTTACTAATCCCCAGCTAACAGACCTGTGAGTTGTTTTTCTCTCCTCTGTCAGAAATATGTGGTGGTGGATGGCTTATCCATCCATGTGTGGTAGATGGCTTATCAATATCATTCTGTGACATAGCAAACAATTAACCCTATAATTCAAGAAAAAATCATAGCAGGTATTCAGTTGTACAAAAAAAGGTGCAAAAATTGTATAACTATAAAACTGTATAACTGCTGGCCTCAACTTAAATACCATGAAGGCAATAAAACTCGAGCACCAGAAAACAATGTGGCATAGAGACTGGTAAAATAAGATAAAGGTTTCCAACATTTCTGAAGAAAGGGGAAAATAGCAATAGTAAAAGTCACATTTCGCTAACTCAATAGAGCAATCACTCACTCTTAAACACAATGCAGTAGGTAAGTCTCAGGAATTTTATCTGAGTTTATGAACTATAATTAAATCATAATAAAGAACAGCAAGGAGAAAAAAATAAATCCCAGAGAACATTACAAAAGAATTCCTAATCAAGGCTAGATTCTGAGTGCCACTGGTAGATATTCCCATCCTCATGATTTTATATAAAAGAAAATCAAAACTAGAGGTCACTGGTTACACAGCTCACTGGTTCTTAACCTTTGGAATGCAACAGAATCAAATGGTGCACTTGTTAAAAAAACAAACGTCCACCGCGGATGTATAGAACTGTAACTGTCCTAAGTATATATTGTGTGTGTTTGAGGAGAATGAGGAAGTATGATGTGACAGAGAGAAGGGTACTGCTGAAAGTATATTTTTAAAAACAATCACAGGCAGTTCCAAAACACAGCAAATTTTGAATACCATTAGGTTACTAGTATTGCCAGTCTCTGAATTGCTAGGCCATTTACAGAAGCAGTGCCAATGTTCACTATAATTTCATCTCAAAGGTCCATACTGTGGGTCAAAGTTAAATTGAAGCACTGTTGTAAAGCTATTCATTTGGTACTGACACTGACAGGGGCTGAGACAGACGGCTTTATACACAGTTCCTCTGAATGGTACGCATATTGAAAGGGGCAAGACTACAAGTGTGGTAAGACCAATTTTGGCAGCCACATGGGAAAATTAGTCTTGCTGCATCAACACTCTTTCTCATAATTAAATAGCACAGTGAAATCATATTTCGAACATAACCTTGGCATTAACATTTCGCTAGTGCCCTTCTGCTCCCATCCCAGCTCTCAAATCATAAACATAAACATTCCTGAATTAAGACCACCGAGAAGACCCTTGTTATGTCATTATGTCATCATTCACGAGTGATCATTCACTCCTGCATATGTTTGACCATTTGGGCAAACATATGTTGCTGCGATTTTTCTTTCAAACTCCAGTTTCTGGAAAATGATAAACACATAAAATAAAACATTGCTCTAAGATGAACTGTGGAAAAGTTCCAAGAGTTTGTATGAAATCTCAAAAAACATAGTGACAATTTTGACAATTTTAAAGAACATTATGAACAAACTCCACATACACACAAACACACACACACACACACACACACTTTCTTTGTAGTTTTAAAAGCTAAAACAAAAAGTAGAAGGAAAGAACAAAGATCAGAGCAAAAGTCGATGAAATAGGAAATAGAAAATCAATGAAATCAATAAAGAAAACCAATGGAACCAAAAAGAAAGTTGTTAAATGACGAGTTAGTGGGTGCAGCGCACCAGCATGGCACATGTATACATATGTAACTAACCTGCACATTGTGCACATGTACCCTAAAACTTAAAGTATAATAATAAAAAAAAAGTTGTTTGAAAAGATAAAAAAAAATTGGTAGACCTCTAACCTGACTGAAATGGAAAAAGAGAGAGATAACCAAATTACCAATATTGGGAATGACACTCTACAGATATTAGAAGTATAACAAGTGGATATTATTAACAACTTTATTCCAATAAATTCAACAACTTACATAAAATAAACAAATTTCTTAAAAGACACAAACTACCAAAGCTCATTCAAGAAAAGAAATATAAATGGATCTATATCATTAAGGAATATTAATAGAATTTGCAATTTAAAACCTTCCCAGGTTGGGCACAGTGGCTCATGCCTGTAATCCCAGTACTTTGGGAGGCTGAGGGAGGTGGATCGCTTGAGCTCAGAAGTTCGAGTCGAGCCTGGGCAATGCAGAGAAACCCTGTCTCTAGGAAAAAATACACAAATTAGCCAGGCATGGTGGTGCATGCCTGTAGTCCCAGCTACTTGGGAGGATGAGGTGAGAGGATCGCTTGGTCCCGAGAAGCGAAGGTTGCCATGAGCTGAGATTGCACCCCTGCACTCCTGCCTGAGCAACAGTGCGAGACCCTGTCTGGAAAAAAAAAAAAAAACCTTCTCAAAGAGAAAACTCAAGGCCCAAATAATTTCACCAGTAAATTTAAGTAAACATTTAAGACAAAAATTAATACCATCTCAACAGAAAAAATTTAAGAGAAGGAACTACTTCCTCCTCTATATAGGAGAAATATATAGAATCATTCTATAAATCTATGATTCTCTAATAGAGAAGCCAGCCAAAAATGTTAAAAAAAAAAAAAAAGACAAACCAATAACTCCCACAAACATCAATGCAAAACACTCTTCACAAAATTTTAATATTTGGAATTCAACATTAAAAAAATAATATATCATGGCTCAGGCCTGTAATCCCAACACTTTGGGAGGCTAAGGCAGGCGAATCACAAGGTCAGGAGATTGAGACCATCCTGGCCAACATGGTGAAACCCCATATCTACTAAAAATACAAAAATTAGCTGGATGTCATGACGCGTGCTTGTAGTCCCAGCTATTCGGGAGGCTGAGGCAAGAGAATCATTTGAACCCGGGAGGCAGAGGTTGCAATGAGCCAAGATTGTGCCACTGCACTCCAGCCTGGTGACAGAGTGAGACTCCGTCTCAAAAATATATATATAATAATAATTATATATCATGGCCAAATGAGACTTATCCCAGGAATCAAATATTTGATATTCAAAAAATTAATCAATATAACTAATCATTTTAAGAAGCTTAAAAAAAGAAAGAAAACCACACAATAATCTCAACAGACAGAGAAAAAACATTTGCCAAAATCCAACACTAATTCCTGATTAAAACTCTGAACAAACTAAAAATAGAAAGAAACTTCTTAAACCAGATAAAGGGCATCTATTTTAAAAACCTACAGCTAACATCACACTTAATGGTGAAAGAATGAATGCGTTCCCTCAAAGACTAGGAAAAAGACAAGAAGATTTGCTCTTGCCACTTCCATTCAGCACTGTCTTATAAGTACCAGAACAATTGCCAAGTTCTGAGTTTTTACCCTACTTGTAGGCCAGTAAGTTAGCCTATTAGATGTTTCATTGATGCTGCAGAAGACAGGAGACGCCTGGGTCAGAGACATAGGATTTTATGATTCATGGTACAACAAAAGGCATGTGTACCACATTTGGATAGATTCCCCTGCCCTCAAAGTCCCATATGGTGCTTCAGATGGATGCTTGCACACACAGTAGGCTGCTGACAAGAAAGGAACCCTTGGACATTGGAAATCTACTGTTTTCATGGTAAGAAGTAAGCAAGCCTGTTCTTTATTCAATGGAACTATTCCACCATCCCACAAGATGCTCATTGCTATCAACCCTGAGAAATAGCCTGGGCAAAGAGAAGTCACAGCCCTAAATTCCTGGCATACCCAGCAAAATATGTAGGAATTGCTCCACCAATGGAGGAATATCTCCCAATAGCAATAAGACTAGACAAAGAAATAAAAGGCACCCATGTTAAAAATAAAAGGTACCCATCCATATTCACAAATGACATCATCTTTGTAAAAAATGATGAAGTCTATTTTTAAAAGCTACTAGAACTAATACGTGAGTAGAACAAGATAGCAGGTTACAGGATATAAGGTCAATATGCAAAAATCAATTATATTTCTAATACCAGCAAGAGACAACTGAAAACTGAAATGTAAAAAATAACACAATTTATAGTAGCATCAAAAAATATTAAACACTTAGGAATGAATTTAGACATATGTAAGACCAGTACGCTGAAAGCTACAACAAAATACACTCAGAAAAACTGAAAAAGACCTAAACAAATGGAGAAATATATAGTTTTCTTAGGTCCGAAGACTGTACATTACTAAGATGTCAGCTCTTCCCCAAAGTGATTTAAAAATTCATTGTAATATCAGCCAAAATTCCAGCAAGCTTTTTATAGAAACTGAGGTGTTTCTAAAATTCATACGGAATTGCAAAGGACCTAGAATCACTAGAACAATTTTGAAAAAGAAGAAAAACGTTGGAGGACTAACACTATCTGATTTCAAATTTTGTTGTAAACAAGCCACAATAATAAAGAGAGTATAAGAGTGGCATGAAGATAGTAGCAAGGAGACGGGATTCAGAGTCCAGAAATAGATTCACACTTAAACGGACTACAGAATTTCAACAAAGGTGAAAACAAGCTCAGTGAGGAAACAATAGTCTTTCAAACAAATGTTACTGGAACAAGTGAATATAATACACATATGAGAAAAAAAAGACAAACTAAAAAAAAATTTTGATCTATACATAGCTTTATATTCAAAAATTACTTCAAAATGGATCATAGGCCTACATGTGTAACCTAAAGCTGTAAAACTTCTGGAAGATATAGAACATTCTGTGACCTTGGGTTAAGCAAAGATTTATTCAATATGATACTAAAAGCACAATCCATAAAAGAAAACATTGATAAATTGGACTTCATCAACATTTAAAACTTCTGCTCTTTGAAAGACACTGTTAAGGGAATGAAAAGACAAGCCACCAGACTGAGAGAAAATATCTGATAAAGGCTTTGTATCCAGAATGTATTTTTTTAAAAACTCAAAATTCAATAAGAAAACAAACAGCCCAATTTCTGTAATGGCAGAAGGAAATACGTGATGGCAAATAAACAGATAAAAAGATACTCCACATGTTCTGTCATTAGGGAAATGCAAATTAAAACCACAATGAAAAAGCACTACATACTTGTTGAATGGCTAACATTAAAAAGACTGACTATACCAGTGTTGGGGAGGATGTGGAGGGACTACAACTCTCATATGCTGCTGGGGACAATGTAAAATAGTAAAACCACTGTGGAAAAGTGTGACGGTTTCTCAAAAAGTTAAACATATAGCTACTATACAATTCAGCCATTCTACCCCTAGGTAATTACACATGGGAAATGAAAGTACAGGTCCAATCAAAAACTTGTACTTAAATATTCATAGCAGCTTTATTCATCATAGCCAAGATGGGAAACAACCCAAATGTCCCTCACATCAGGCGAATGGATAAACGAACTGTAATATAGCCACACAATTAAACACTACTCAGCAACAAAAAGAATAAACTATTGAGACATGCAACAAAGTAGATCAATCTCAAAATAATTAAACTGGGGTTGGGGGAGGGAGAGTATTAAGAAAAATAGCTAATGCGTGCTGGGCTTAATACCTAGGTGATGGATGGATAGGTGCAGCAAACCACCATGGCACACATTTACCTGGGTAACAAACTGGCACACCCTGCACATGTACCCCAGAACTAAAAATAAAATTAAAAATTAAAATAATAATAATTAAACTGACTGAAAGAAGGCAGACAGGAAGAAGTATACATTGTATGACATCATTCATATAAAATTTTTAAAATGCAAACTACAGCAACCAAAAGTAGATACCTGCAGATTGACTGCAGGTGGGGAAGAGGGCGAAGACAGAGTCATACATATGTCAACACTTATCAAATTGTACACTTTAGTTTACTGCAGTTAGTTATAGCCCAATAAAGCTATTTTTTTAAATCAGCATTTTAATAAATCCAAAAAATTCATTTATCACTATATTCCCACTAAGCCCTTATATAGTACTATACAATTGCTATGCAATTTTAGTGTTAAAGCATGTTGTACAAACTCTATAAGGAACAGTACTCTCACGTTTACACTGCCGGTTATCATAAGAGCTAATTTGTTCTTCACAAACTGAGTTATGGAGAATGTGTTTTCCTTATCAGAATGAATTCCCAACTCCTGTCCACACAGCCAGTGTTGAGTCTCTCATTTCAAAAATTTCATCTTCCCTAACCTTGTTTATCCACATTGTCTCAAGGAACATTTTAGGGTTTCAAGAATTCAAGAAAGATCATGATCTTGCAGTGATCCATTTTTCACACTCACCTGAGCTGACTTGCTGCAAACGACGCCATGAATCTCCAAGTAGCTGAAGGTTAACTCGAGCTGCAATTGAGGGGAAAGGAGGAAAGAAAAGACCTGCAATGAGGGTTTTAAAAAAACATATAACTTAAGGTAAAAAAAAAAAAAAAAATCCTACAACTAGAAACAGCCCAAGAGCAAATAAGACACTGGGCATCTTCTGAAGGCGGGCTGGTTTAATATCTCCATTCATTCAACAAGATAGAAACATGATTTATCAAATTTCAGAAAAGGTGTTACTTTACTAAAAAAGAAAAGAAAGGAAGCTGCATGCACAACTTTTAAAATTATATCCAGAGACAAACACAATAGTAGAAGTTGGTGCAAAAGCAATCACAGTTTTTGCCATTAAAAGTAATAGCAAAAAACGCAATTACTTTGGCACGAACCTAATAAGTTTTTGCACTTAACCACTATTTATTCATTGAGAAATGAATGTATGGAAGGAACCATCTAAACACTTTTTTCCCTTTTTCACTTCAAAATTTTGCTTCAGAAAGTCCTATCAGGATAAAGTCAATGTTGTTTTTCCCTTCTTTCTAAACCTTCAGCTATTTGTTACACTCTGACCACTTACCAGAGTCAGCCGTCCTTCTACTGTCTTCCATAAAAATGCACAGTTTGAATGGATTTAGAGAAATAAATCTATACTTATCCTAATTAAATCCATATTTACACGAATACAATATTTAGGAATTTTAAGTTGTGCTTAAATGAAATACACAGAGTTAAACAAAAGTCCTCTCTCTCTGCATGTAAATAAATGATGATTTGTTTCCTCTCTATTTTAACAAGTGCCCCTCTCTTCTCCTGTAATCAGCAGTTTCTTTTTCTTTAAAATATCCCCAGTCTTTCACTCTCTACCTGTTTTTCCTGATAAACAGCCACTAATCTTTCTTCCCGGATTTTCCCCATTTCAGCAAATAATCACAGAGCATGGAGCTAGAGACAGTGGGGGACCAAGTTGGATCAATTTTTTTACCCTCCCACATTAAACCGAGAAATATAATGATAAAAAAACACATCCAGAACCAAACCCACAAGAGATTTAGTTCTGCTCCCTGGTGGTATGTTGTACCATGATACGTTGGTAGAATAAATTTTAGAGCAGAAAAACGCTGAATCTCCAGTTAAACATCTCAAAGTATACTGATGAAGTTATTATTAATAGTGGGGAGGGAAGTAAATACTGGGCAGAAAACCCCTGAATCTCCAGTTAAACAACATGAAGTATACTGATGAGCTCTGGAAGTAGAAAGAGAACTCATTCATTCATTATTCACTTGGTCAACTGACAAACACTTATGAAAAGCCCACTATGTGCCAGTATTGGAAATACAAAGAGTACTGAGACGTTTGTTTTGTCCTCCAAGAGCTAAATGCAACATTTAAGGCACATGTTTAAAAGCATTAAATTAGAGTAGAAGTTTTCTTGCCTATCATTATCAAGATCTATACATAATTTGGTTTTGAAAAGTCATTTAAAGCAGGAAATTATTTTCTAAAAAGTATACATACCTTCCTTCATTATTTTAATTTAAAGTTTATGAATAAATATTCATTCACTACCCTTTAATACTGTGCCAAAGTTTTTCTTTGAGTTAAGCCCACTGGCTGGCCCTCCAGTGGCCTTTCTGCATAAGCCATACTCACAAGTATGGCTTCCAGCTTCCAATTTAAGTCTCTTTAAAAATGCAGAACTGCAAAATACTTGCAAAGTAATATGACAGCAGACGTTTTCTAGATTATTATGCTCCTCACCACCCCTCCCCCAACTATAAAGTTGTCTAGTCTTTAAAACAGCAATTTAAGCAATTCACTTTCATCAATATTCAATGTCACAGACACTCTTCTTTTGCACTCATATTTTATTGCTACATAAAATATCTTTCACTAAAATGTTGCATTAAAAACATTTGCTACTATAACTGCTATAAACAGGTTTAGGAATAAACCCATGACCCTCAATGAGCATCTCATTCAGTGGGTGGTAGCAGGTGTGAATAGGTGTGAGCAGGTACCCTCTCTTACATGCTAACAGCTATGAAAATGCAGCTAGCATCAGTCAGCATCATCAGGGATAGGAATGGCCACCTTTGGTCAATTTGGCTCAGCAAGATTAGTTGGAGGTCAATTAAGATGCGTCTACTGTACCTGAGTGCTGTCCCTGGAGTAGAACAACAAAGTGCTGGGGAGCCAGGAAAGAGTGGTGACATTTCATCTAGGCCCTGAAGAATGACTTCAAGTTCCTCAAGCAAACAAGGAGTGTAGAGGGAAATTCAGGCAGAAGAAAAAGAATTCGCAAAGGCATCGAGGTGTTAAAAGAACTAGGACAAGGAAGAAACTAAAAGGAGCAGATCCTGCAGTATTAGTAATCAACAAGGATGACTGGCTGAGTCTGTGATTAGTTGAAGTCCCAGGTTATCATTAATAGTGGGGAGGGAAGTCTCTAAAACATACTGAAAGACGTCACAGCAAGGTTCAAATCATTCTCTCCTATCTCATCTATGGCTATTTTTATTAGGCCTTTGCTCCTGGTCCCCGCAACCCATCATCCACTCTACTCCAACCCACCCAAAGACAGTTTAAAGAATGTCACTGGATTAGATTTATGGGCAGGAAGAGGCAGGAAGACCAGTTAAGAAGCTGAGGCAGATGTAGGCTGCATGAAGACTTGAGGACATTTTTCAGTTAGAAATTACACTAATTAAATATCACCACAGAAATTAGTGAATTATTAGATAAGAGGAAAAACTTAACCCAGACTGTCAATAGCTTTTCCACCAATCTCTTGCTCACCTCACACCCAAACCCTCACAAGACAGTGCCCATCCCACAAGCAACAGAGCAGATCTCAAAGTGATAAGGAGCCTGTTCTTCAGTAACTCCCGCTCTTCCCCAGGCAGCAGTCTATGCTTCAGCTCCTCAGCCAGGCCTTGGCCCTGTCCGTCTTTCTGAGCTGTTTCCCTCCCACCACCGCCTCCTCCACAATCCTCAGCCCACACTCCAGCTCCCCAAATGCACTGTGGTCTTCCAAACTGCTAAGCCTTTTGGCCAGTATAAAACCCTTTATTTGCCCGGCTGATGGGTGATTTTTCAACTGGCCCTCTCCGCAAACCCTTCTTTGATCTCATAATTACCCAACCCCCGAAAGAAAAGTTAGGGCCTTCTGGGGTGATGGCACAGTTCTATTTCTTTATCTGGGTGTGACTGCAGAAGTGTTTGCTTCGTAGTTAATTACTGAGATGCACATGTCCGTTTTGTGCATTTGACTATATATGTTGTATATTTCACAATAAAATGACAAAAGAAAGATGTTTAATTAATCAGCTTCCAAAGAAAAGACATCTATGTCATAGTCAGTGCTTTACACTAATGTTATAAATATACTTATTTCTCCAGAAAATTAGTATCATTCACACTGGCTTTACTTCTCAGTCAAGACTTAAGGTGGCACATGAAAACCAGCCTTCTCTAAGGGGGAAAGCGGCAAAGCTGCAAGCAGATCACTTTGGAAGAAAATCTGCCTTTCTTTATTTGTGATGCTGACAATATCAGAAATCAGAACCAATGTTCAAACTACCCTGGCCAGGCTGGCTGTGAAACATTATATACATCACAGGACGGAGCCAAGCCTTTCCTCAGGGGCAGAGCAAGGAGGGGGCAGAATAAAGTCATATAAAGTCATCCAGCAGAAGGCAGGCAGGTGACTTCACAAGAGGTAACACACTTCCACTGTGTCACAACATGTTAGGGTATGCATATTTTTTAGGGATCTTCTATTCAATAGGGTGCTTGAATATTTTCCTAAGCCCATAAAATTTCCTTCTGTAATTAATATCTTACCAGTGGGATAATGTCTAATTAAAGTCCTCATATCATGCCTTCAGGTATTTTAACGTATAGTTTAGTCCAACTTCATTGACCTAATTTATTTATAAAACATAATAAACATATAGGCTCATTTTATATTATCTAAAGGGGCTTGGGCCAAAAGTCTCATTTCTTGGAGAAACTTTATAAAAGTTAACATTTGTATGATCGGGAGGAAAAAAAAAAGAAAGGCCACAGATATCCTAAGCCTATAACTAGCAAACATTGCATTGGCATCTTCCCAAAAGTCAGTGCAAATCATGAGACTGCAAGTCCCAAAAGATCCATTTCATTTGTACCAATAACATTATAGCGCCATAACTTGGCACCTAAGTCAGAATTTACAAAACAGTGGCTAAATGTTAAATTTTAAGAAACAAGAAAGGACTAATGAGCAAATAACACTGCGGCCCAAACATCATAGCACGATAAGGCTGAAAGCATCTACCAGACCTTACCCATTTTCCTGGATATGCAGGTAGGGGAAGCAGTTCAGCTCAGTAAAAAGTCTAAATAAGTAGGACATGGTGAGTCTAATTTCTCTTTCTCCCATTCATTACTTTTGAATCTTTAGACTAGCCAACTTCACATCTTTTAGCTATTTTCTTTTTTATTATTTTATTTTATTATTATTATACTTTAAGTTTTAGGGTACATGTGCACAATGTGCAGGTTAGTTACATATGTATACATGTGCCATGTTGGTGTGCTGCACCCATTAACTCGTCATTTACATTAGGTATATCTCCTAATGCTATCCCTCCCCCCCTCCCCCCACCCCACAACAGTCCCCAGAGTGTGATGTTCCCCTTCCTGTGTCCATCTGTTCTCATTGTTCAATTCCCACCTATGAGTGAGAACATGCGGTGTTTGGTTTTTTGTCCTTGTGATAGTTTACTGAGAATGATGATTTCCAATTTCATCCATGTCCCTACAAAGGACATGAACTCACTTTTATGGCTGCGTAGTATTCCATGGTGTATATGTGCCACATTTTCTTAATCCAGTCTATCATTGTTGGACATTTGGGTTGGTTCCAAGTCTTTGCTATTGTGAATAGTGCCGCAATAAACATACGTGTGCATTTGTCTTTATAGCAGCATGATTTATAGTCCTTTGGGTATATACCCAGTAATGCGATGGCTGGGTCAAATGGTATTTCTAGTTCTAGATCCCTGAGGAATCACCACACTGACTTCCACAGTGGTTGAACTAGTTTACAGTCCCACCAACAGTGTAAAAGTGCTCCTATTTCTCCACATCCTCTCCAGCACCTGTTGTTTCCTGACTTTTTAATGATTGCCATTCTAACTGGTGTGAGATGGTATCTCATTGTGGTTTTGATTTGCATTTCTCTGATGGCCAGTGATGGTGAGCATTTTTTCATGTGTTTTTTGGCTGCATAAATGTCTTCTTTTGAGAAGTGTCTGTCTTTTAGCTATTTTCTAATCACTCATCTACAATGTTACTGTGAGAATTAAATGAGACTGTATCCTTACATACTTAGTAAATAACTTATTAGATTCTAGCAATAACAGAAGCAGAGGCTTTGCAGCCAGCCTCCCTTGATTAGAATCACACATGTGCCACATACTAGTGGAAGTTTAACCTTGGTCAAGTTACTGAACCTCCTTGGGCCTCAGTTTTCTCATCAATAAAGGGGATAATAATAAGACTTATAGCTCTCATGAGATTCTGTTAAGGATCAAGTTATCTACTAAAACAACACTCCAGTAAATGTTATCACCTTTTTAGGAAAAAGATCTCAATTTCCTATGACCATTCAGTCAATATCATATAAAAATGATAAACTCCTTTTAGTTAACATAAACAAAATAAGTCATTATTATGATTAATCCACAAACGATCAGTTCGAATTCTGCACCAAGTAATGAAGGACATCTTATGAAAAATGTTATATATCTCTTTTAAAGAACAGAGTGGCATCTTGTTATTTCTTACAGGCAACATCAGAGTAGACGGAGAACAGCTGAGATGGTTACATTTCTGGTAGTGTATTCTTTGGAGTTATGAAAGTTACTCCCCACATGTCTGAAGTCTTAGAAAAATCTGCCAGTACTTCGGATCACCGAAGGAAATAAGAAGTAGACTTGAATAAAGTGGAAATCAAGCCCCAGTTGAGAGAGAAAAATAACTGGGACATGGAGCCTTAGGGACATAGAGCACAAAATCCTTCACTGATTTTCTTGGGATGCCTTTACACAAAGAGAGGGAACAAAGGAGTAAAAAATATGTTTCTCATTACAGCCTTTAGGTGCTTCTGGGAAGAAGGAAGGAAAACTTGAATGTGCTAAGAGAAATCTGAACACAGCTTAAATCAAAAGTCTATGTAAGTGAGGTGTGTGTGTGTTGTGTTGCAGTATATGAAGGAATATGTGTGCACACATGTAAGAATGCATGAGTGACTATGCATGAGTGGGTATGAGTGAGTGTGAGTGCAGAAGGAAGGACTTCATCAACACTTACCTTGGTGGGGATTCGCGCTGTTACAAGGAAGGCTCGGCATGATGTAAGGACCTGTAAGACAGAAGCAGCAGCATCAGTATAAGCACCAAAAAGTGGGGCCAGTGGGCTTTGGTGTTTCCACGGGACTTTAATGATACTGAAACCTCAGAAGGCCACATGGCTTGGCTCCTGTCATGTAAGAAGAATTACGAGCTGGGACAGCTTCTTGGTCTCAGAATTAGTTTTAACTTAAAGAGTCCCTGTATCAAAGTTCTTTTAGAACAAATCACAGGTGAAATCTCAAGATGAGAAATCTGTCAGCAGCCCAAAAACCCAACAGATTATTCAGATTAAGTAAAACAGGTCTCTGTGATACTAAAATGCATAAGATACATAGTCACAAGTCTCACTATATCAACAGCAAACTTAATGGAAAAAAAACAACAACTAAGTACTCATTTGCACTTCCCAAATTACAAACACCTCCCACCTTTGCCCTCTTGCTTTCCATTCTTTGTACTCCAGCTAACATTTATATAATGCACAGAGCAAAATCAGGCTAAGCTTCCAAAAAATCATCCCTAACTTTGCTTCTCAGCTGTGCCTCTCTCAGTCTTAGAACATTTATGGAAGTTTCCTTTTTGATACTCAGCTAAGAACATACATACAGCCTGTGGGGTCCCATATGCCTATAGGTTCCTTTTACTTAGCAGAGGCCCTCATGAATACTAAGGGGCTGAGCTAGGAGTTCAGATCTTGAGCCAGGATCCCACATCCATGAAGCTTACTACAAAACTTTCCACTCTGCAACTTTGAGATTTGGACAGGCCTCATGAGTCTTTTCAATAAAGAAAGAAAACTCCAAGGCTTCTCAAGTCCTGATGGGAGAATTGCCCTCTTTTCATTTTCCAAATAACTTCCTTGTCACTAAGCCTGTATTTAGCAAGTGGTGCTTATTTAGCAAGTTATGCTTATGTGCTAGTTCAAGAATGCTGGATTAGAACAAAACTGTAGAAAGTTAAGAACACTGGGACCTCAGGTTGTTAAAGGACTTACCCAAAGTCAAACAGCTTTACCCAGACACAACCCCGGGCTTGAACGGCTAAGCTGAGCACAGAAAGTCAATCAAGGCTGTGCCCCTGTGGCGTGCTTTATACCTTTCCCTAGTCTCCCAACTCCAAATAGAAACAATGCATTTTCTATAAAATCTTTCTTTGAATAATCATATGTCATCACGGTAGGGGATAACTCAAGCCAGAACTATTTATGAGACAGATGAGAAGAGAAGTAATCTGACACTGGCTGGGAGAGTGTGATAAAAGCGGGTGAGGAAAGTTGAGGGAAAAGACACAGCCCATTTCAAGACCTTTCACCCAAATGCCACCGTCACAGTTATTCACAGGATCAATTTTTACCTGGTATCATTTTTGTGGCTTGATTTTAGAGTTGGCATGCCCTAGGAAGCCATTAATAAATGACTTCTAAAAGTGTAGGCAACCAGTGCCTTCTCAATGCTACAGGCAGCATGTCAGTCTCATAAAAATGTGGGCAACAGATGATGTCTATCTTTGAATATTCCATATGCTGTGAGCCAAATCACATCTTTTCCCTGAGGAATTTATCTTTTTTTTTTTTTACACCCTCCTAAGGCCTTGGGGGCAAGGAAATGGGACAAAGCACCAGGCAGTAGAAAGGAGAGGGACAGGGATGAAGTATGGCCAGGATGAGTGCGGGGAGGTCAAGTGCAGCTCGGTAGTAGCAAGACTGGCTACATAATCTGTAGGGACATTGTTCAAATATGATTAAGAATTTCAAGACGATAACAATAAGGCATTAACCCAATGCAGGGAAATGATGAACTCGTTTCAAGGTCATATAATTAGGGGAGAAACAGAATTCACATGCTTGGGATGGAAGGCATCCTGCTTGTAGGGTGTCCAGCTCTTTCTGTTTGCACAAGGTGTTTCCAGTTTCAGGGCTGAGAATCCTGCATCCCGGGAAACTGGGACTGTTGGTCAACCTACTAGCTTGAATTTTGGAATCAGAAAGACTTACATTCAGATTCTGGCTCTGCCACTTTCTGGCTGCATTTACCTGTTAATGCCAAAGCCTGTGTCCTTAACCACCACAATATGTCTACATGTTATTACTCAATCGTGCCTCCTTGTGCTCTAGCCCCTGGTGGATGTGTCCTGTGCAACTGTACAGATTGCAAGCCATAAAAGCTGTCCCTAAGCGTTGCTACTCTTTGTCGAGCATTTTCTATGTGCCATGAATAGGTGAATATCTTTGAGGAGAGTGGCACACTTAATCCTCACAACAACTATATTTGATGTCATTATTCCCATTTTTCAAATGAGTAAATTGAGACTCAGTGATGAACTCACTTCAAGGTCATTCAATTAGAGCAGAAATCGTTTATAAAAGCATCAGAGTTCAAAAGGTCCTTAAGAAGAGTATAATTTAAATCTTACAGCTTTGTTAACACCAAAACCAATGTTCTTAACCACCAGGCTATATTTATATGTTACTACTCAATCCTGCCTCCTCGTGCTCTAGCCCCTGGAAGATCAGTTACCGTGAAGGTAGGAAGGGATAGCCCAGGGCAGCCATGACTGGAAGAGATCCACAAAGCTCTCAGCTTGAAGGAGTACCTTTTTCAACATTCCAACAGTTTTCAAAATGCTCTTTTTAAATCCAAGTATGCCCTGGAGAGCTGAACTCTTCTGTCATCAGCACTAGTTAATCTTTGGCTAATACAGCAGTACTCAGGGAATTAAGAGTTTGCAGGCCTTTTGCAAAAGGGCAGGAGATCATTTTGTTGCATGAGACACACAGGGTTGGATAACAGGCATCAGATAATCAAAAGAAGCATGACAGTAATAAAGAGGAATTTGGAAAGGGAGATAAAAGGCACCAGAGATACGCTTGGCTTGCACTGCCATTTGCCTAGGTCTGGGGAGCGGAATACAAGATTAGAACTCATCTTACAGGATGAAATATTCACCTTCTCTGAACTAAGCTCCACAGTGCATCCAGCACCTTCTACTCCAGTTTAGCCCCAGGATATGACCCCTCTTTCAAATACTGCTCCTCCCCCAGAGTGGAAAAGAAAAAGAAATAAGATAATAATGCTGACAACCATGATCATAAGCATGGCTATAGGAAGCCAGTCCCCTATTCTCACCATTTCTCCCTTTTTATTATTTACAAAGCAGCACACACATTTCTCTCTCCCAGGGGTACTGGTATGATCAATCCCCAATCTTTCCAAAAAGCTTAGGTCCACAAAACCTCTGCATAGAGGTAAAATAACAGACAAATCCTAAAACTCGTATGCCAGAAAGGTCTCAACATCACATTGTCAAAGACCTAAAATTCCCTGAGTTTGTATATTATCTGACAGCAGGTCCAGAGAAACTCATCATCTCACAGCTAGTCAGTGGCAGAGCTGGAACTAGAAGCTGCAACTCCTCACTCTCAGTCTATTAACTCTCCACTCTCACCTTACATTAAAAGTAAGGTTCAAGGCCAAAAGTCAAAGACAGGAACTTGTAGCCTCTTCAGTATTCATAAAAATATATTTAACTGTGAACTTTCCTTCAAAGGAATTCAGGATCCTTTCACAAACATAGTAATAATTGCCAGTACCTGTTGAGTACACTGTTCTAATAGGTTTGTATATGTTACCACATTTAATCCTCACAGCACCCTATAAGGAAAACACTATTATAATCCCCATTTTAAGATGAAGAAACAGAGGCACATGGAGATTATGTAATTTGTGCAGGTCATCCAGCAAGTAGGTGGCAGTTGGGATTTGAGCCTGGATGGTCTGGTTCCAGAGATGGTGTTCCTAATGACTTATACTGGCTGTCAAAGCTCACCTTTCCAAAAAACAGATTCCTCAATAGTCCACACACATGGAAACATAGATGAGTCATGGAGCTTTAAAGCCAGAAAGAAGCAAACACGTAAAATGACCAGCAGTACAATGAGAGATGTTTGGATATCATAAGGAAAAGGACCAATCCCTACTGGTCTGCGTGTCTCCTTCTGTCTCTTTCTATGCACCGCCATCATCTGTTAGTCTCTGTGTCTCTGAATTTCTCTCTTATCTCTGTTCTGTATCTGTCTACATGATTCTACGTATGTACCTCTCAGTCTATCTGTGCCTCTCCTCACTGGCTCCCCACCCCTCCTCTGACCCCTCTCTCTGCTACTGCTGCCAGTGTCCCCCACACTCCACCCCGTCTTGCTCCATCTCCTTTCCCTCTTCTGGTGCGCTCCTCCCCTGCCTTCATTCTGCCCTCCATTCCCCAGCCCCTTCTCCATGAGAATCACTTGAGAACTTGTTACTTTATTTATTCCTTTTGCAAGACAATAGACACCAATCACAGAAGAAAGAATGCATTCTAGAAAAGTATTTCATTTGTAACACAGTTACAGAAAAACGTGAACAAAGTATGAACCAAAAATAATTAGACACCTTTTGACATCATTATACAATGAGCATATTGGCTATTAAGTGATTACAACGTCCCCTGTGTGAATCTAATTAATAAGTCTTAAAAACTAATCTCAAACATGCACCCAAACAACTGAAATACAACAGCAATCACTAACACAAGGAACCAGCCAGCCATTCCATCCTTTGACAATTGTTGCACTTTAGGGAATAACGCTCCCACTACCAGTGGGGGAGTGGGGGTGGGGGGTGGGGAGAGGAAGAGGGAGGGAGTCAGGTGACCTGCTTGTCTTCTCTTGACTTGCCCTTTCCAGAACAGTCACCATAGGAAGTTTCTAGAGGCCACTGACAGGGTATGAACTAGGGTCAGAATATTTAAAACAAGAGGAGAGCTGGGTGTGGTGGCTCATACCTGTAGTCCCAACTACTCAGGAGGCTGAGGTGGGAGGATCTCTTGAGTCCAAGAGTTCGAGGTTACAGTGAGCTACGATGGTGCCACTGCACCCCAGCCTGGGTGACAGAGCAAGACCCCATCTCTAAAAATAAAAAATGAAATAGAAAAAAAAAGAGTAGAAAAAAGAAACCAGAATGTTCATATGGATTCATCTTTTGAGTAAAGATTAATTTTGTAACTACAGGTAGATACATGAGGATCTAATGATCATTTCTACCTTCACCCCAGCAATAATAAGGTTCACAATCTGTGGCCCTCTGTGTCAACTCCCTTTCTTTAAAAGTATTTTACAGGCAGTGGAAGTACACAGTGTCCTTCAGAAGTTGGATACAGATCAAAATAATTTGTCTGAAAAGAAACACATTCATAAGGGAGCCCAGGCTTTGAAGGAAGACTGATAAGCTACAAAAGCTTTGTGCAGGATGGTCCCCATTTCTGGTGGTCAGTGAAAGCCTCCAGAGACACAGAGAGTTCACAGAAAATGTGGAAGGGGATGGGGGTTGGAATAGAGGAAATCTTCCAAGCTTTCCCAAAACTGTACCCACTTGTGGGTACAACAGGGCAGCAATATTTTAAAGCAAGAATGAAAATTACAAATACTACTGTTACAAGTCAGATTGTGACTCTTGTTTTATCAACACAAACCGAGCCAATTAATGGGGCTACATTCATACTAGAAATCCCAATGAACTCAGTCTCCCAGCCTCTCTGTTTGGCTCCAAAACTGCCCTAGGATTTAAAGCTTCAGAGGATTTATAGTACACACACATGGTTTCTAGCAGAGTCAGGGGCAGTTGCACAGGACACATCCTCTGTGACTTACCAAAAAGGGTTTCCTGATAATGAATACTTCTTCAGTGCCTGGGATGGGAGGCATCCTGCTTGTAGGGTGACCAACTCTTTCTGTTTGTATAAGACGTTTCTAGTTTCAGGGCTGAGAATCCTGCATCCCAGAAAACTGGGACTGTTGGTCAATCTACTAGCTTGAATTTTGGAATCAGAAAGACTTATATTCAGATTCTGGCTCTGCCACTTAAACCTGATAGACTTTTGTTATCTCTAGAGAGTTAGAGATTACAGAATTACAGATGAGCAAACTGAGGTGCCTCATACAAGAGATGCTCAAACAAGAATATTCCTCTGCAGGACTGTTACTGTTGTGTGGATTAAATAAGATACAAATGCAGATAAAGCCCTACCCCAGAACCTAATATGCCTTTGCTAAACACCAGCTCTTCTTATAACTTAACTAATAGCATCTTAGATTTAGTTTCACAAAGTAAGATTAAGTTGCTTCACCTACTGAATTTTTTAATAATTGTTTTTGTCAAAAGAACAAAACAAACAAAAAATACAAAGATATTGAAACTTCTCCTAGGCTGCAATTTTCTGTTCAATGCACATCTTTGGCTTTGAAGGGAAGAATTTTCTTGCAAAGTTAAAAAAAAAATTAGGGTGCATCAGATGGAGTATATGTGCTTAGCCAAGGAACCTTCACCACAAAGGGTAAGCTACAACTTCCCTCCCACCTCCCCTGGGAAGGCCCATTTTTCCACTGCAGCCTTAACATGCAAACCACATTTTCAACCTCTGTAATGAATTTCCTCTGCCTTTCATTGAAATGCAAGTAGCAGCCAGTTCCCTCTGAGGCTTCTTGGTTCAACTTTTAACTTCATAATTTCACTTAGAAACATTTATAAGTCCTCCTTACTGTTAAGACTCACAGTTTAGCAGAGAAGCCTATGTTTTCTTATGGAGATATGGAGGTCAACTATGGAATCTGCTCATTGCACACTTATTAGAAACTGAAATAAATACATACCATCTTAAATAACTCCATGGCCTAAAGCCTACTGCAGCACAGGCAATCCATAAATTCATGCTCTCTAAATCCACATTCTCTCATGCAGATTACCAGGAGTGCCTTTTCTTTAAAATTGGGCTCTACGTGCCAAACATTCAACAAATGGTCTTACACCCTTGAAGCACTCTCTAATTTGCAAGCAAACTAAATGATGAATGCCATCATTCCCCCTCTTAATACTTTCCCCTTCCAAACTCCCAGCTCTAAGTACGTTACAGATAAAACCTCATTAATCCAAGACATATACCTAGGTGAGGGAGAAGGGCAGGTGGTGAGGCACATTATCACCACTGCAGAGTTATAAGTGGCAGATGATAAGGGACTTTTGCAAGGTCACCCAGAAAACTGAAGGAGAATAAAACCTCTCTCCTGGCTCTGAGCCTCCTAACACTATACTCAGCTATGATGAACATCATCCTTCCTGGCAGGAGGACACTTCACCCAAAAGGAACACCAAAAAAGTACATTTTAATTTAATTCCTGACTTAAAATCCTTTTCAAAATTAGAGCTTCACTCTTCATGGGCAGCTGTGGGATACATTGATATTAATGGATGTGCCCCAGTGAGGCTATACAGCCTAGTGTAGGGTTTGCAAACTACAGCTTATAAGTCAAACCCAGCCTCTTCCCACTACCCCACATAGAGTTTTATGGCTCATAAAGCCCAAGATATGGTTACTGACCCCTGGTCTAGTGGTTTAGAGAATAAATTGTAGATTTAGACTGCCTGGGTTTGAAACCAAGCTCCATTATTTAATATATACATGGCTAAGAGCAAATTACTAAACCTTTCCTGTGCCTCAATTTCCTCCTTTTCTCTTTAAGATATAGGGTCTCACTCTGTCACCTAGGGTGCAGTGGAGCGATCACAGCTCACTGCAGCCTAGACTTCCTGGGCTTAAGTAATCCTCTGGTCTCAGCCTCCGGAGTAGCTGGGATTACAAGCATGTGCCACCATGCCCAGCTAGTTTTTAATTTTTTACAGAGATGGGGTATTGCCATGTTTCCCAGGCTGGTCCCAAACTCGTAGCCTCAAGCAATCCTCCCAGCTCGGCCTCCCAAAGGACTGGGATTATTGGCATGGGCCATCAAGCCACTGCACCAGGCTCTCTTCTCTTTAAAAATGAGAGAAATATTTACACTTCATGGAATGATGAGGGTTAAATGAGTTAATACACCTAAAGTGCTCAGAAGAGTGCTGGCACATGAGAATTGCTACATGGTGTCTGTTACTGTTATTTACATTTTAATATCATAATAAAATTTTAGGTCTATAATAGTAGTAAACCAAGAAGAGAGTTATCCAGATTTAGCCTGAGTCTGGCCTCAAGTTAGCCAAGTGGCCTAACCATGAACAAGTTACAATCTCTAGAGACCTTATTTTACCCAAATTTAAAATAAGAGGTTTGGTTGGAACAGGTCTCAAAGTCACTTCCCTACACTCTGAGCCCATGACTTAGACTCTCTCTGGGATTCTCCTCCAGCCCCACTCTTTTTGGGTGGACTTCTAGGAATGACAAGCCCCCGGTAAATATTTGCTGAGAGGAATTAATTCCCCCTTAGATCTCTGCTCCCTGGACCAACAGGTGCTTCTTCAATAGGCGGTCAAGAAGTCACTGAGTTTCGTTTTCTATTCGGATGTTTAGTTTCAGAGGAAATCTACGTACTCTAACACCTGTGCAAATCCATTTATTTTCACCTAATTCATTCCTTTTCACATTATGTAGAAATGGAATGTTTACATACAGCATGCCAGACACAATCACTTCATTCTTTCCAAAGTCACACTATTGCAAGTTGTAAGGTGTTATCAAAGCATAAAAGAAACAAACATGTCTAATGTTCGCCCACAGGTGAACACAGGGGCCAGTACATATCAGATCCTCTTTTCAAAGCACCCGCTGATACAGAAGTCTGGAATCTCCCATAGTGATTCTGTTAGAACAATGTATTTTAAAGTCAGAGTAATGATAGGTCTTCTTTAATGACAGTACTTTAGCAGTGACACACTAACATGAATGGGCATCTTTAAGTGGTGGCAGGATGGTAATTCTTAGCATGAGGCCAAGGGTGAAGATGAGTGAAGTATCCAGCTCCAGGCCCACAGGGTCCATGAGGATTTTGTGTTAAGAACTCACATGTGGCAGAACTCCTACCCAGGCCCTCAACTATTGGGTGAGCAGACAGCAGGGGACTCACAGGTCTGCATAGGGCATGTGTGCTAAGAGACCTCATCTAGTCATCACTGTCATATTTATGTTTTAAATAAATTCACAAGTAATAGAGTCACAGTTATTCAGGGAATACAGAAAAAATATAACTATAAAGTTCATATTAACCTAATTAATTACTAAAACTTCTGCTTCCCCAACACAGGGCCAGCCAGCCTCTTTTAGAACACATCCATTTGAGAATCACTAGAACCCAATTCTAGCTAAAGATGAGAGAGTTAAGAGGGGTCAGGGGATATGTGTGCCCTTTTCCTTTATTTTACAGATGAGGAAACAGATCAGGAAGAGTTAAATTATTCCTCTGTGCCTATTAGGGCTTATTCTTAGTTTCAAGCAACAGAATTTTAAGAATAAATAAATTTACTTAAAGGAAATTGAGTAGTTCTTGTAATCAAAAGAACAACCAGAACTCAGTAGAGACAGAAACCAAATCAACTCTAAAGATGGGAGAAGCAGGGACTAATAAGGAGTTCCTCTGGCTGCCCTCGTGGAACAAATTGACTCCAATCTTCCACCCTAGCATGTTCCCTCTCAAGATTCAAAGCCTAGGGCGCAAAAGTCCCCTCCTGGGCCTGGCACCAAATAAAGACCACACAGAATTACTCAAAAGTTGAGACAAGTGGCAGCTATGGCCTAGTGACAACGAGCACTGGCTCCAGGGAGTCTGCTAGACCACTCTCTACCAACCATGCAATCTTGGGCAGGTAACTCAGCCTCCCATACCTCTGTCTCCTCACCTGAGATAATACATGCAAAACACAAGTACCTGGCACATGAAGGAGTCCAATAAATGCTAAATGGAAGAGTTGGAACAAGAAATCAGTTTCACTTTTCTTTTACTGTAAGTCTATTGCCGCAGTCCCTCCCCAGCCTACATCATTTCAACTTGTCTGTGTTTCTTGGCCTTACATTCTCATCTTCTCAAGCCAAGGAAACACAAATGTCACTTCTTTCTCCCTCCCTTGTTATATTAGCATTTTCATCAAATGAAAAAAATACATATTTTCTTTCCTTCTCTCAGAACAAAGTTATAAGATAGTTTCCCACTTTGCAGAAAGGTGGTTGCCATATGGCGGCGGGGGGCGGGGGGGGTTGATTTAGATTTAACACCATTACATATATAATCAGAGAAATAGTCTTCATTAAATTCAGAGAATAAAAAATAAGGAAAGAAGGAGAATATAAGATTTGGGGTAATCCTATCAAGAAATTAAGGTAGGTATATAATTTACAGCGGTGCTTCTCAAACTGAGGGCTACAACCCATTGGTGGGTAGTTAAATCAATTCATCAGAGTTTAATGAGCATATTAATATGACAGACTAAACCAAAGTGAAAAGGAAAAGAAAGCCAAGGCACAGCAAGTAGAAAACATGAGCATTATTTCACAAAACTTGTTTGAGTGATGTCAGTATATACATGGTACTCGCATGCAAATGTGTGTGTGTGTGCACAATTCTCGAAATCAATATAAAATGCATGTTTTACTCTGGATCCAGGTTTTGAAAGTTTGATAAATACTAGCATACGGTACCATATGCACCTGTAAGCGGGATCCACCATGAGGCTATAGATGAGGATGAGGCAGCTGGTAAGATGGCAAGAACATGAGCTTTAGAGTCAGACACACTTCAGGCGAAATCTCAGCTTTGCCATTTTGTGGACTGAGAGGTATTAGGCATGTTGCTTGAAATCTCCAGGCCTCAGCTTTTTCACTTCTAAATTGGAGACAATCTGTATCCTAGTTTAAGTACTAGAGATAACCTATCAAGTGCTGAGCATACAGTAGATACTAATATAAAAGGAGCCATAATAATTGTCCTCAAACTTATAGAATATAGCTCTGAAAATGATCCACAGGGACAAAGGTGTGAGACCTACAGAGACAGTGTGCAAACTTGCTAGTTAGAAACAGAGCTGAGCCCAGAAGCCCAGTCTCCTGGTCTCAGCCTTATTCGTAACACATCATCTTCAGCATGTGGCTTGAGTCAGAGCAAGGGGGAGAATACTCCCATGGTAACTATAACCTATTTAAGAATTAGAAGAGAATTTCCATTTCTATATGGTGATGGGATAAACTTTGATATAAAGGAAGAATGGGCTTTGAATCCAGACCAATTTAGATCAAATTACCAACTCCTCCATTTATCAACTACCTAACCTCCTAAATTTTATTTTTCTTACCTGTAGAATCAGTATGAAATAGACTCTGTTGGACAGTTGTGGGGATTAAAGGGGTAACATGTAAAAAGCCTACAAGTACTGTGCCTAGCACTCTCCTAGATATGCTGAACTTCATTCATAGGTGAGGCTAATACCTGGCTCAAAATCTTTTTTTTTTTTTTTCTATTTTATGTAGAGACAGGGTCTCACTACATTGCCCAGGCCGGTCTTAACTCCTGGGATCAAATGATCCTCCCACCTCACACTTTCTATACAGCCCCAACTTCTCTCATCAGGGGACAATACAGCATCCAATCATGCAGAGCACTAGGCTTTGAAACTGTACCACCCCAGTTTGAATTCTGGTCCCACCACTTACAAGCACGAATGATTTTGAGAAAGACCTCTGTGTGCCTTACTTTCCTCATCTGTAAAATATGGGATCACAATATATACCTCACTGGAGGTTGTCATAAGGATTAAAGAAGGTAATACACACAAGGTGCTTAGAAAAGTGTTGGCGATAGTCAGTGTAAATCATTGCATCCCTAAAGATATGATGATCAGGAAGCCTTTGAATTCTTCGGCCTTCTTGTTCACTCTGTCATATCCTGGGCCATGTTAGTTACTGCTTGAGATTATACCATGTCAAACGATTTCTAATTCAGGCATCCCACTCTCTGCCCGAAATCTTTTTTTTTTTTTTTTTTTTTTATTTTAAGAGACAGGCTTTTACTGTCACCCGGGCTGGAGTGCAGTGGTGCAATCTCGGCTCACTGCAGCCTTGACCTCCCAGGCTCAGGTGATCCTCCTGCCTCAGCTTTTCAAGTAGCTACTACAGGCACAAGCCACCACACCCAGGTAATTTTTAAACTTTTTGTAGAGATGACGTCTATGTTGCCCAGGCTGGTCTCAAACTCCTCAGCTCAAGTGATCCTCCCACCTGGGCCTCACAAAGTGTTTGGATTATAGTCATGCACCACCACACCTGGCCCTCACAGTGTGATCCACGGGCCAGAGAGGCTGGCGTGACAGGAACTTGTTAGAAATGCAGAATCTGAGGCCTCAGCCCAGACCTGCTGAATCAGAATCTGCGTTTTTACTAAAATCCCCAGGTGATTCACATTAGCATTACAGTTGGAGAAGCACTCATAGCTAGTTCCCTTATTCAGGTACTACCACTACCCTGTTTATTGCCCCCTGACACTGCCAGGTCATTCTCCATCAGCACTAACCTATCTTCATCCAACTGAACCTCCACTGAAATCATTCCTCCATGTGTTAATGTCCTTAGCCTTCGTGTTCCTTGTCCTTTTATTACTCCCACAGAGTAAAACTTCAATCTTGGCTGAACTTACCTAGCCGCCTATTCCATGCTTGCAGTGGTAGCTGCCAAGCACAGCTGGAGAACTGATCTTACCCAGCAACCTGATTCCGTTCCCTTCATCTGGGAAGATGACTTTCCCTCCTACTTCACAGAGAAAACAGAAATTATCAGAATGGTATCACTTACCATTCCACTCCAAACCTCCACACCTGCCTGCATCTGCAGCTGTACCCACCCCCTCCTCTTCCTCTCCTTCTGAAGTGCTGGAGATAAATGCCCGTCCCTTCGTGTGGGCTCTGGGTTACATCCCACCTGTCTTTGCAGGAACCTTAAGCAACTAAATATCCTTTCTCTTCCATCTCTAAATATCCAAACATAGAGATGTTTAGACCTAGAGCTATATGCCTGGATCCTACACACCTCTTGCAGGTCCCCTCTAACTGTCTCTACCCTTTGAGCCCAACTTCTCAAAAAAGGTACCCATACTCAGTGTCTTCATATTCCTGCCTCCAATTCACTCATCTAGTGTTCAAAATTGGCTTCTGTCCCCACAACTCCACTTAAATTTCTCCTGCTTGAGGTGCCAATCTTGATTGCTAAATCCAACCTCACGGCTGCTAAATCCATGCACTTCCTAACCAGATTTCTCCTTAGCACTGGGCATGGCCCTTCATGCTTGATGTTCTCGTTTCCATACATTTTCAACTGGCCTCTGTGGTTATTCCTAGTCACATGTCCAATCCCCATTCCCTGCTACCATTCATTCTCTCTCATGACTTCAGTCCATCCCAGATGACTCCCAACTTTATGCACAGCCCAGATCTCCCCTCCGATCATCAGATCTATTGATCTAACTTCACTTGTATGTACTCCAACCCTTAAATTCAGCATGTCAACAACTAAACCATGATCTTTCTTTCAAAATCTGCCCTTCCCACAATAGGTCTGGCTCAGGAACAAGGATGGTCATCCATATGGTTTCCAAAGCCAGAAATCCAAGCATTGTCCCCTTCTCTTCCTATCTTAGTCATTCTCCAAGTTCAATGCAGTCTACCTCCCTAAATACCTCTTACATCCATTCACTTCTCTCCATCTCTACTACTATGATACTATTCCAAGCCACCACCCTCTTGCTCCTGGACCACTTGCAATAGCCTTCTAACAGATCCACTCCTGCCCCCTCAAATCACCTGCTCATATAGGATCTGAACGTGATCTTTTAAGAACCCAAACATTATTATGTCCCTTCTCTGCTTAAGCTCTTCAGTGGCTCTGCACCACTACACTGGCCCCTGCCTCCACCTCCAGCCTCACTTCAACCCAGCCACACTGGCCTTCTGTTGCTCTCCCAAGAGGAGGGCTCCTGCCCCACCTCTGCTTTAGGAGCTATCCCTTCCCCCTCTTGCTTTACCTTCACCTGGCTCATGCCTACTCATTCTTCAGGTAAAGGACTTCCCTAAGAAAGTCCAGACTACACCAGGTCTCCCTATTATATACTCCCACCGTATTTGCACATTTTCTTATGAATACTTATCACAGTTTTAATTAACAGTGGGATTACATATTTAATATCTACCAGCCCCATTAGACTGCAAGGTGCCTGGGAGCAGGGACCACATCTGTCCTATTCAAAGCTCTATTTCTCAGTGCCCAGTACATTCCTGGCACAAAATAGGTGTTCAAATATCTGTTGAGTGAATGAATGCAACAGGTTTTACTGCTCCTTCTCACCCTATTTCCACCTCTGAAAATTCAGGATTTTAGAAGGCAAAAAGTTGCTACGGTCTGTGAATCTGATAATAATTCTGTCCTGCCTGTTTTATCCTGCTGCCTACCACATAATTGACACATCCTTCCTGTTTAATAGCCATATCCTATAAGGGAAGTACCTAAAAATCTGTTGTTTGCAGCTTACCCACTTAAAACAGATCTACTAGCTAATTCCCAACTCACCTGCCAAAAGGAAAAGAAATAGAACAATAAAAAGATAGCCTAGTAGAGGAAAGGCATAGAAGTGTCAAGTGCTGACACCCCTGCCTTTTGCCTACTGTGTTCAAAGAACTTCCTCATTCACAAATTCATTACAGAAAGACAGAGTTTCAGTTCCAGAATTCTGCAGCTCTTACGATCTGGGAATGTCATTTCTAACAATGGATGTAGGGTAAGCAAAATCCACTTTAATAAAGGATTTCAGGTATCTGATGTCTTTCTGGATCTTGATTTTGCCCTTGATTGTGCCAACAGGACTACAGGGTTAAATCCACAAAACTAAATAATCAATAAAGGATGGGTCAGGGTACTGATGAGGCAGACCTTATATGAGGTATACAAATCACCATATATTATTTTAGTGGCAATGAATAAAAAATCTCAAACATAAGGCAGCCCATCTTCTAAAGCCAGGGCATATAGAAAGGGCATGCTCAAGGGAGCAAAGCTATTTTTAAAAATAGAGAATATTTTCTTTCTCGAAGCTCAGGTAAATGAGATCAGCTAGTGTTTCACTCAGGGAACACAGAAACATCACTGATTTACTAAAATAACTCCATTCAGCACTTTGACAAATGTCTCAAAGTTTCAAGATAAACTGAAAGTTCAGGCAGAGCTTTTTAAGCCAAACCCAGTCTTCACAACAGGAGGAAGTGAAACGTTGACGGGTTTAGTCATAAACACTGCTGCTGCTACACCTTTTAATGTAGAAATTAGCAACCCAGGATCTCTGCACAGCTGTGCCTCCTCCGCCGTGCCTCAGTGGGAACCAACAAACAAAAAGTGACTCCTCTGTCTTTACTGCTACAGATCCCTTTCCAAGCTTTCCTTTCCCCTGCACTTTGCCAGAAACAGGCCGGGTGCCCCAGTTTGGCATTAACCACTTCCTAGTGTGAAGCAGGGAACACTGCACCTCTATTTTTTTTTTTTTTTTTAAGACGAAGTCTCACTCTGTCACCCAGGCTGGAGTGCAGTGGTAAGATCTCGGCTCGCTGCAACCTCTGCCTCCCGGGTTCAAGCGATTCTTGTGAATCAGCCTCCTCAGTAGCTGGGACTACAGGTGTGTGCCACCATGCCTGGCTAATTTTTGTATTTTTAGTAGAGATGGGTTTTACCATGTTGGCCAGGCTGGTCTCAAACTCCCGACCTCAGGTGATCCGCCCACCTCATCCTCCCAAAGTGCTGGGATTATAGGCATGAGCCACCGCGCCCAGCCTCTATTATGTTTAAAGCTCATCACCTCCCCTCCCAAGGCAGCAAACTCCAGGTGGGTCCTTCATCCACTGTCCCTACCCCGTTCAAACAAACATATACCCAAAGCAGCCCTGCTGCAAAACCCATAAGATCCCTTCTTGCCTCCATTGAGAATGCTGGCATGGTGACAAAGGACTGGCCAGCCAGCAAAGGGACCAGCCAACATGGGAAGCCCCAACTTCCCTCTCTCAGAAGCTGTCCACAGACAACTCCCTGAAGCCCTGGTTCAAACTCCCTTCTATGTGGCTCCTCAAGTGCAGGCAGGAGAGAAATGGAGGCCCCTTGTTGAGCCAGGCAGAAAGCAGAGCCTAAAACCAGAGTAATCTTAGAAGTGGAGGGGAGGCAGGGTTACACCAGAGGATGTGTCTTCCTGACTCTCTATCTCTTGCTAAAATGAATTTCAATTAGATTAGCACTCTTTGTTTACAAACACTGTCATTAAATATTTGAGTAATTCTTTCAACCAATAATTACTGACTGCCTACCTTGTGGTAGGCACCAAGGATAAAAAGACATAAAGCTCTGCCTTCAAGCAGCTTATATTTCATTCAAAGGAGATTATACAGGAATAAATAAGTAAAACATATGGCATATCTATGGTGATAAGTGCTATGGAGAAAAATGTAGTACAAAAAGAGAATAGAGCGTGCTTAATGCCTGGGGGTTATGGAGAGGAGTGGTGGGTTAGGTGGGTGGCATTTTTAAATAGCTTGGTGTGACGTAATTATGAAGTGAGGTTGAGAAAGATCTAAAGGCAGTAAGAGAAAGAACCATATGGCTATCTGGGATAAGCATGGTCCAGACAGAGGGAATAGCAAACGCAAAGGCCCTGAGGCAAGAATATGCCTGCAGCAATTGAAAAATAAAGAAGAGCCTTGGCTTGAAGGGAGTAAGCGCAGGGGAGGTCAGAGGGGTGATAAGGTGGGGGTGAGGTGAGCCAGGAGGTCTGTGAGGCTTTATTGGCTGTTGTCCACACTGTTCTGACTGATAATTGCCCTGAAGGCCAATCTCTGACTGCCATGTTGGGTGAGAGAAGGAGAGTGGAAGCAGGGAGCTCAGGCAGGGGCCAACGGCAATAGCTTGTGAGAGATGGTGATGGTTAAGCCACAGAGGTTAGCAGGAGTGCTGAGAGGTGGTCAGACCAGATATACACTGATGATGGAGCCCATTGGTTTTGCTGAGGAAGTGAAATTGGAATATAAGAGAAAACTAGTTATTTTGCTAAGGTAACAGTTTGGTTTACACCCATGAAATAATTACATAGCAATTCAATTTAAGTGACTCCTGGATTGGTCTAGGTACTGTGTTACCTAGATGAAGTTTTTTGTTTTGTTTTTAAAAAAAAAAAAAAAAAACTCTTTATGGAAGAAATGCAACTTGAGAGGAAACAGCTGGTTCCAGAATTTTCCAAGTGTTATTCTGAAGATTATCAAATTATGTTTGTCCTCAGTAGGGGAAAAAATGATCTTCTGGAGTTGTGCTTTCCTGCTCAACCACCACCTTCATGCTCTAATAATTTCAAATGTATATTGTAAATATAATACCTATAATATATAACCTGAGATTCTATTTAAATTCTAAAACACAATTTTGGGAAAAGGGAGAATGGGAATATCCTTTCACCTTTTCTCTGTTCCCCTAGAATAGTGTTCTCTCACAGAACTTTCTGGAAATGTTCTGTATCTGCACATTCAGATACAGGAGCCACCAGCCACGATGTAGCTACTAAGCACTCGAAGTGTGACTAGTGTGACTAAATTTTTTATTTAATTTAAATTAATATAGCAATTATGGCTAGTGGCTATCATACTGGACCATACAGCTCTAGAAGAAGAAAAAATCACTACACAGTAAAACATTCATGAATCAGACATTACACTTTACTCTTAAAATTGAATTATAAAGTAAGTACAAAATAGATTGGCAAAATCAGAAAGCACATGTTCTTCTTTTTTATTATGCCCTAGAGTTACCTAATTCTCCTATTCCCTACATATATTCTTTGAAAAGAAACAGTAGCTGGCTTGGTCTTAGCAGTTTTTAAACACATTTTCTTGGTTTTTGCATGCAATTCCAATATCTTACAGGCCGTCATTCTAACACTGTCATTCAAAATGGGATTTTCTTCCTTGACGCGTATTCAACGCTAACATTCTAAATGTCACATAAAAATAAAGATAGAAGAGTCTTATTATAATTGAACAATCTTCCTGCTTTAAGTTCAAAGCACTCTCTGACATCAGTTATCTCTTTTTTTTTTCCTCCCAAGATCACCATGAATGAAAGGGCTGGTATTAGTTTAACCATTTTTTAGTTGAGGAAATCAAGGCAGAAAAAGATTAATGACAGTCAATTTCACAGTGTAAATATATAGCTTAGTCAGAAAAGAAGAGAAATTAGGAAGGCATAAAAAGGGAAATTAATTGAAAATGAAAAAAAAAAAAAACTACACGCAAATCCTTGGTTGTCAAATTCAGTAGGCTGAGAGCCAGGTCTGAGAAATGCGGACTGATTAATAGAGTTGGTGGCATTGTCTGTCCTTCCGGCCCTCTGTCTCAGACCTTCCACATGTCCCAACAACGTCCCTGAGATCTGGCAAGTTGCTGGCTACACAATTGGAAGGTGAAGAGGATAAGGTGGTTTAGTTAGGATCGATTAGTGAGGTGGCTGTCAGTATAATGGGGTTCATTTATTCATCAGCAAACCCTACCAGATTCAAATGACAGGGCAACATTTGTGAATAATCTCCTAACCCGACAGCTGGCGAATGAGCTTCCATTAATCTTGCTTTGAAACACTCAGGCTAACCCTAGTTATATCACTGAATTGCATGACCCAAGAGATTAATAAGGCAATTCAATGAGTTTAGAGTTGATCCTTGAATTCATCAGTTAAATTCCTTCTTTGAGAATGAGGAAACTGAGTCCCAGGAAAACTGTGACACTTGCATAAGAACACAATTTTATTCACTTTACAAGCAAGCGAGCTTGAGTTCCTGTGTCTTGTATAAGCAAACATAGGAGCTGACTATCCTTGCTTTTTACTCCAATATATATACACACACAATGTCATATACACATTTTATATGTGTATCTATAAACACACACATTTTGTGTGTGTATGTATATATACATATACATTTTGTGTGTGTGTGTTTGTGTATAAAATGTTTCTTCTGGGGGGGAATATTAAAATTAGCAATTGCATCCCTGCAACATTATTAATTAAGAGCTGAGACATAACAATGTTATAAAAGCAAAGGTGAAACAAATGTGAACCGTTAAAATAATTCAAAACTGTATAAATGTTATTAGTTCCTGTGAAATAAGCATAAATATACTAAATATATTATATATGGAGATAAAAGTACCATACAATATGCAGGAAAACCCTAAAACTAGAACTATATCATAAATCTAAACTAAAGTAAGTATGTTAGCTATTTAATAATAAAAATATATTCTTTTGCTTCTTGGAATTTAGAAAAATTTCTTAAGGATGGCTTGGTTAGCCTGGTCTTCTCAATGAGTCTGGGCAAGTCTGAATTGATGGTTCCTCTTAGTGAGAGGAGACTCAAACAATAGGCAGAGGCTTTATATATGTTTCATGATGACACTGAAGATTCTAGGAACAATTGGTTTTTGAAGTGCTAACATAGAGAAAGGCAGACTTTCCTCTGCTATCAGTTACCTTCCCTAAGAAGGTTGCCAGCTGTGTGACATCACTTGGGTAATCATTCTGATGGCCATTATTAGAGAAAAACCCATTTCCTTCTAAAATGACTTTGTTTTAGTTCCCCAAGTTATAAGTTTTTAAAGGAGCTTTGGGATATGAATTCAAAAAATTCCCAGTCTTAATTCTGAACATTTTTTTGGCCATTACCATGAAGCACAGCTGGTGGGGGGATGGATATAATCTATTTCTCATCTATAGAGCATTTTACAACAAAAGGTGACAATAAAAATTCCATCATTATGCTTAAAAAGTCCCTCTGATTCCCTGGGAAACTCATGGAAGGAAGACTGATTCTAATTCTTCCAAATCATGCAGGAAGGAAAAGCATCCAGGAAGATGCACATTCATCTAAAGCACTGAAGATAAAGCAGTCAGAATGGGCACAGGCAGAACCAGGCGCTGGGTGTGGACTTTCTTTATAGGCCTTATCCCTTTTCCCTGAAAATGCCAAGTGGGTGCACCATGGATCGTGCTAGGTTAGCATGATTTACATGGAGATTTTAAGGTAAAGATAGAGAACTAAAGACAGAAAGGAATTGAGGCTAAGGACAGAAATGGAAGCTGCACAGATGTACTGCATGGATTCTATGAGTCAGACAATACCTACAGATATAATTGTAAGGTGAATGGTACAGCGCTTCTCAAGACAGACACGCCTGGACCAGCTCCACCATTTACTAGCTGTGTGATTTGGAGCGAATTATCAGATCCCCTACACCTCACCCTTGGCTGTAAAAACACATAATGTAGTATCTACCTCCTATAAGTGTCGTGAAGATTAAATAAGAGGATGTATATAAAACTTTTTAGCACACAGCCTAGCTAACAACAGCTCAAAAGATACTAGTTATCTAATGAGAATTAAAATAACAGTCATAGTTCAACCAGTAATAACAGCTCTCTGAAAGGCCGAGCTAAATATTTTTTAATTCCCTTAACATATCAGTAAAGCAACTGAAATTGGAAATAAAATTTCCTCCAGGCATAATTTGATTTACACGTTCTCTAGGGATTACATGAAGGCCCCACACAGAACAGGTTCTATCCAAATCACCCCTCCACATTCATTAGCATCATTTTTTAGTTAAATAAGTTAAACAAAACTTATATTTTTCACTTCTTAGAAGTCAGCCTGTTATATTTTCTGAATGCCTTAAGGCTTAGTTTGATATGTGGTTTCAATGCCTCTGACATTTTTGCCAGATTTGACCAATTTGCAACCATTCCCTGAAATCTGCCTCATATCCAGTCACCAAACATAAACCATCCACGATACACTTAGAACATTCGGGTCTCCTATTAGCTTCCCCAGTCAAAGAGACCATGGCTGTTGAGGGTCTTCTCTAATGCAAGGGTTGCATCCTCACCTGGGCAGGTAGACAACCACATTCTGGCAGAGCCAGACAATGGCAAGTCCAGAATCCTGAGCAGAAACACTTGGAACGACTGTCATAGTAGCCGTGCAGCCCCTACCATCTGTATTACACCTGCAAAACCAGGGGCCTAAGGCCTTTTTCTAGCCACAAAAGGCTGTGCATCCTGGATCGCTTACATAAGTATCAAAAAGTATCCTTCCAGAGGCCTTCTCTCCACACACTAGTTCATAATAGCTCTTCCTTTTTTGAACCATCTGTGAGCGGGGAAGAAAAGGGGGGTGTTTTTGAAAACTGCTGTAAACCAGAAGTGGCAAGGCACTTACCTTATCACGTTTAACTCCATGAGGAAGGTACCATGATTCTCTTGTTATAGACAAGGAAACCAAGACTCAAAGAGGTTTATAACAATTTAACTTGTCCCAACAACATTGATAAGAGTTAGAATTTGAACCCTCAATTATCAGCTTCAAAAGCCACATTCCCTGCAGCACCCCATGAGGTGAGCCTCTCCTTGCTAATGCTTCTCATCAATACCCCAGACCAGCTCTTGGGGCTCATATCCTTGGTTACATTATTTACTCATAAAAGTCTTCGCATGGGGAGCAATAATTTGCATGATTCTGGAAGGGCTTGTTCATGTCACACTTCACACAGCACAGTGTCTGGTATAAAGCAGATAGTCGTCTGATCTAAATCTTCTATTCCCATAGCCAGCACATAGCTAGCCTGTGTCGTCTGCATATGATTATCACATAAACAGGACTTGCTAACACCAAGCTTTGGAAAACAAACTTCTTCCCACCCACTAACAGGCTAGTTGGTAATTAAAACCCACATTGATTTATCACCGTAAGCACTTTACACAAGAAACAGATTAACTAGAATTAAGGACACTCATGACAAACCTGTATGTGAAACCTTTGGGGGACAAGAGAAATATCCATTACTTTAATATACTTGCTGATTTCTCTATTTGTGAGTTTTCATGACTGATGATGTTCCTTTGCCACTGGTCATCAAAAAGGCTTATCATAGTTGTGAATTCTGAATACAAACAAATGAATTATCCCTAGTTGAGAGCTCTTGGTGGAAGAGGTCCTAGTCATGACATCACTAGGTCTTACTATAGGAAGTAAAAAATTCCACCCATACCAGAAAAATATAAAATTACCTTGTTCATTAATTTTTAAATAGTTCTTTACCCAGTTGTTCCTCTTTTGCAGTAACCCAACATTCAGAGATATGGCTCCTTTTCTAATTCTTTAGAAAATGTAATCTTTTCCCCTCTAATATTCTTAAATCCTCCAAATTTGCATTAAATAACATCAATATTAAATGATAATCCAGAAAAGATGTCAGTATCTTCCCTCACTGCATGCACATGCACACACAGACACAGAAAGCATGTGCTATTTGAATGAAAATAAACCTAAATGTATTTTAAATCTATGTATATGTTAAAAAGCTTATTTGCCCAATTTAGGTGTCTAAAATTAAGATTTCACGTTTCATGTATTCCCCGAGAAAATTAAGCTGAGTGATGGAATACCTAGGAGTCCATTAGTGGAAAAGAGATGATGTCCCAAGGAAGAAACTATACTAGAGTTAATCCAGACACCACCATCCTTTATCCAGATAATAGCATTTCTCTAAGCAGCCCAGTGAATACCATGCTATTCACTTGACTGAAAACCCTCATGTGTCAAATAATGGCCTCTTCACAGGCACTGTGATAGCAGATTCCTTAGATAACCAGTGGCAAAAGTGCATGTAAAAACACCCTTTGTTTGGCAGCTACGGCCACAACTTTCATTGCTTACCCTCTACCCCTTCAGACTCCCTATCTGCCCCACCCTATGCACCAGATGTCCCCATTCCTATTGACTGCTTGTCCCTCATGCTCTACTTGCTGCCATTTACCAAAACCATCAAGAATTTTATTCTGACCACCTGCTTGAAGATGCCCTCTTGAAAGGGGATTTGGACCACAATTAGCCCAACAGCCTGCAAGGCCCCCTTGGCAGACACCAGCACTTCCGCTTGTATGAGGGCTTAACCAAGAAGGACTTGCTTTTGTGGAGTTGGGGAAATAAAGGGTTTTTTTGGGGGAAAAGAAGTTCAAATGACTGAGCTAGAAAGAACCTTAAGAATGCTTAATTCTTTGCAGCACTTAGCTGTAAATATGCCTGCAAACCTTTTCTGGAGTTTTAGCCCCCTGAGGGCAGGACAGTGTCTCATGATCTTCATCTTGGTATCCCCCCTCAATAAGTGTTTGCTGAATGACAACCTCCTCCTTGATGCCGCTCTCATGAGCTAGGTTGTACATGAAAATTGTTAATCAGCTGGGGACTAGATGGCTTAAAATAAATGGCCCCATGTGTTACAGAAGACACTGGACCGGCAATCAGAAGACAGGTTCTCATCCCTACTCTGCCATTAAATAGCCATTTAATGTTGGGTGAGCCCCTTGTCCTCTCTGAGCCCATTTCCGCATCTCTGCATGGAGTGAAAAATGCCCATCTCTAAGGACGCTGTGACTCCATTATTATTCCGTGGCAGTTTTAGAAGTAGAAAAGTGTACTTTTCTACTGACAGCAAAGGTTGTTAATACAAAAAAATAAACAAAGTTACCATGAGTTAGTGAAACTACCTTAAGATTAAAACGGCCAGGCATGGTGGCCCACGCCTGTAATCCCAGCACTTTGGGAGGCCGAGGCGGGCAGATCACTTGAGGTCAGCAGTTCGAGACCAGCCTGGCCAACATGGTGAAACCCCGTCTCTACTAAAAATACAAAAATTAGCTGGGCGTGGTGGTGGGTGCCTGTAATCCCAGCTACTCGGGAGGCTGAGACAGGAGAATCGCTTGAACCCAGAAGCCAGAGGTTGCAGTGAGCCGAGATCATGCCACTGCACTCCAGCCTGGGTGACAAGAGCAAAACTCCATCTCAGAAAAAAAAAAAAAGGAAAAAAAAAAATTAAAACATGATATTTATTTTCCCAGGATGGTTTTGCTTCTGGTGAAGGTCTCTTTCAGCTCTGTAATTCTGTGACCCAGTGAGAAATTTTGAAAGCAATGTTATAATTCTACTATTAAATTTAGATGTATTTATAATGTTGTGGCTTATAAAATGAAGTAGACAGTCTTAAAAAAAAAAAGCAGAATAATTTTAAATTTTCCTGAAAAGAAATGGGGCAAGCCCTCCAGGTAGTGCTGTCAAAATAAACCTGCTCAGCTTTTTCACAGGGAATCCGCATACCCTGAAGGGGATGAATCTCATATAAGGAAAAGCTTGAGTGCCACCCTTCAGTGGCAGTAGAGAAATAACCACAGGGCAGAAAAGACTGGGAGGAGGGCAAGGCACAGAAACTGTACGCAAGATCTGTGACATATGGAAGTCACAAGGACCCGCATGATCCTAGGAGCCATCCAAGTGGACAAGTCAACACACAACAGCATGAACAACAGGCTTCATTCCCCGGCTGGAAACCACCTTTCCACTTGCTTATGTCTTACCTCAATAGGAAGACAAACGCAATTTTCTCATTTCCTCCATCCTCTATGTAAAATTATCATTTATAACAGCAACTTTTGAGGAATGCTAAGAGTGACTTGCAAATGCTTAGGCAGATCACTGATTCAAAAAGCGAGCAATACTATATGAGCAATCATTAAAGAAGGTCCCAAAATGTAACTTATGTATAACAAAAAGACTTTTAAAATTGATGTTACTTTTAAATTTTGTAACAAGAAAAATAAGTGAAAACAAAACGGTCATTATCTCTATTTCTGCCAGAAGATGCATTGTTCAGTTAACAATCTTATTCAGAGATATTGATCAAGGAATGGCCGCAATGAGGGTCAATTAAAAATAGTTTCTTTTAACTTGAATTTTTAATTTGAAAAGATTTGCATAGTCCAAAGAAGATAATGCTGCTATTGGAGCAAGATGTTTCTAAATTTTCAGCGGTGTCAATCATTTATAACAGAAGATGCCTTATTTACTCTGTCACTCAACCAATGTTGACTAATGATGTCACAGCAGTCACTTGTTTCTGTATCCTGTACGTCCTCTCCAGGATGTTTCTCCTTGCACCGCCGTCCCGACAATGCATATTCTTAACAGCGCATGGGCTTGGGGACAGCAACGCACAGAAATATGTCCATGCTTACAATGATGTAAGCCAATTCAGCGAGCTCCTAGTCCCCAGTAGGGTTTTAATTTTCATTTTTTTGTGACTTGCTGGTAAATTTAGACAAAATCATGGAGAGAAATAAAGGGAAAAAACTTGAAGGGACAATATTTTTTAAAGTGCCTTGTGAAATGTAATTAGATACACCTTACCATAAATAGTCTAAGAGTTACCATTAATCGGAATATATTTTAAGGTTTCCTGGGTGTATTTCTCCCCAAATTATTTTTCTCTGCTAAGGCAAAAGGAAATAAGTAACATATTTACTTATAAACAGTAAGACATTTCCAAATAGGTAGTACTCATTTGCTGGAATAATTAATCTTCTCACAGAAACCCCAAAATAGTAACTGTTAATGTATAAATGTTTCTTTTAAGTACAATTAGGTAACTCTCCTTTACTGAAACCCTTGATTTCTAACAATTTCAGTACGGTTATTTATATTAAAACATCAATCCAACAACTCATAGTGGCTCTGTCCATTAGACTGGCTTGAGAGGAGAGACCCTGACTTAACCACTTGCACAAACCCAACACTTGGTACAATTGCCACACAGTAGTCATTAAACCAACCTGAATCACAAAGAGCTGCAGTAGTTATTTTTCCTATTCCTAAATGGTGTCTTACTTCTTTTTTCACTGATTTTACAGATTAAAAGCAAGCAAACAAACAAGGCTTACTCAAGTGTTTACCAGATTTCTGACTTAGCCCCTCAGGAACTGTGTAATATTGGGTAGATGATTTAACCTCTCTGTGTCTCAGTTTCCTCTTCTGTAAAACAGAAATTAATTTTAGCACTTTAGCACTTGTCTTCTAGCGTTGTTAGAAGACTGAATGAGTTAATAGTGTGCTGCTTTGTGCTGGCTACTGTGTCATCATAACCATCACTATCACTGCCAAGAAGATGAACAAAATCATAGCGGGAAGGGCTCCATTTCCCAGGGAAAATAACTATCATGCATCTTTCTCTGTAAATACAAGTTTGTAAACACTGGCTAATGACAGAGGGATGGAGAGATATGTGATAAAGCAAGTAAAATGTAAATGGTAGAAACTAAGTGGTGGTATGTGGGTGCTCACTTAACACTCTTTCAACTTATCTGTATGTTAGAAAAATTTCATAAGAAAATGGCAAAAGAATCACATAAGGCAGAAATAGGTGAAAAAGAAAAGGGAACTTAGCGTGGAAGATCAGCCACACTACCTCCCCAAGAACGTATTATTCATCAATAACAATAGCAACAACAATCATGATCTTTCTTTTCTTTTTTCTTTAAGAGATGGGGTTTCACTCTGTTGCCCAGGCTAGAGTGTGTGGTGCAATCAGAGCTCACTGCAGCCTCCAACTCCTGGGTTCAAGCGATCCTCCTGCCTCAGCCTCTCAAGTAGCTAGGACTACAGCTAATTAAAAAAAAAAAAAAATTGTAGAGCAGGTCTTGTTATGTTGCCAAAAATGGTCTCAAACTCCTGGCTTCAAGTGATCATCCCGCCTCAGCCTCCCAAAATGCTGGGAGTACAGGCATGAGCCACCATGCCCTACCTAAAAACTTAACCATGATTTTTTTTTTTTTTTTTTGAGATGGAGTTTCATTCTTGTTGCCCAGGCTGAAGTACAATGGCGTGATCTCGGCTCACTGCAAACTCTGCCTCCCAGATTCAAGCAATTCTCCTGCCTCAGCCTCCCAAGTAGCTGGGATTACAGGTGTGTGTCACCATGCCCAGCTAATTTTGTATTTTTAGTAGAGATGGGGTTTCTCCATGTTGGTCAGGCTCGTCTTGAACTCCCGACCTCAAGTGATCTGCCTGCCTCGACCTCCCAAAGTGCTGGGATTACAGGTGTGAGCCACCACGCCTGGCCTAACCATGATCTTTATAGAAATCTCACCTATAATTTTATTTATAAGTCTTACAACAATCCTATAAGGAAGCTACTCCAAGTATCATTGCTATTTCAGAAATTCAAAAACAAGAATAGAATGAAAGACCTACTGAGGATCATGCAATTCGTAAGTTATTGTGGAGATCTGAACAGAGTTCTACTGCATCCTTCCCACCGCCAGAATAATTAAATCACTCATTTCATGCCTCTCACCATGAAAGAAACCACTCTCTTCTTCAACACTGTGACCCTAGTGCCATAGTTAGTAACATATAACAGGCACACAAAGATTACTCAATGGATGGAATGAAGGGAGGGAAAAAAGGAGGGAGGAAGATCAGGAACACTGTTGTTTTTTTTTTCCCATCCACTAGACCTAAACTCTACCCAATCCAGTAATTATAAAGAGGGGTATTGCTTTTAATTAAATTTTATTAAAATGGCATAATAGTTTCTGATTATAAAAATAACACATTTATTACAGACAACTACATTTCCTCTTACCAAAGAAAACTAAATCAATATATTTCCTACACGTGGATACTGGTAGCCATTTTTTGCCTCAAGAAAGACTTATTCAGATTTTCCAAATGTATCTAGCATGACATCCATTCACATGAAAGGCGAAATGTTCAGTTACACAGATCTGAGCCATCCCCTGGAGTCAGTCCAGGAAGAAGCAAGCAGGGTGCTGAGCAGTTTGCAAACATGTCACATAAGGAAAAGCTGAAGGAAGTAGGTCTGCTTATCCTATAGGAGAAAAGACATAAGAATGACAGGAAAACAGACTTCAAATATTGGCAAGGCTGCATATGTCAGAGGGAATAAATGTTTTCCTCTGAGCCAACTGGGAACAATGTATAGAAATTATAGGAAGAAACATTTTTGCTTGATATAAAGAAAATTCCAAGATCAATTTGAAGTTGTGGAAAGAAGTGAACTCTTTTATAAGGCAGGTCTCTCACTATCAAAAACTTTGTCAGGAGTATTATACATACATACAAGGTTAAGCTAGATACCTTCAAAAGTCCTGTCCAACTGCAATAACCTGCAATTCTAGATCCCATATATATCTACGGTTTGTGTATCATATATACCAGGTTAGCAATGTATGTATGGCACAGGTGGCAAACTCTTACCATACCACATGTGATACACACACACACACACACACACACACACACACACACACACACACATGCATATACACACACATGCATACACACAAAAAAACAGCCTAAGATGAATTGCAGATATTTGTAAAACTAAAATTATGTAGTAATAACTAATTTCTAACTCTGTCATTGAGTTTCTCACAGTTTGGAAGAAGAATGTGGCATGCCAGGGACAATTTTTTAGTTCAAGTTGTAATACCCAAAACTGAAAGCCTGCGTGACATAAAAGAATAACTGCTAAACTAGTCCAAACACTTGGTTTGCACTGACTAGCCATGTGACCTTGGACAATCCACCATGCCTCTACAGATGTCAGTGTCCAGCAGAACTTGTATTGCTATGTTCACCACTAGCCATATGCAGTTTTTTTGAGCCCTGGCAATATGGTTAGTGCAACTAAGGAATCTGTAATTTAAATATTGTTTTAATTATATCTCACTGTCATTAATTTATTAAATTCAAACAGCCACATGTGGCTAGTGGCTATCACATTGAACAGTAACTACTGCTGACAAGGCCCCTGAAGAAGAAAGTCAAATTCCAGACCAACCTCAACCCATCATCTTCTGCAAGATCTCGATACCATCTAGACAACTGTGACAGAAGGAAAAGATAAAAAATCTGAGGCTCTATCTCAGAAGGTCCTTAGGGCTCCTGTCAGCTATTGTCTAGCCCATTCATTATCACCACCATATCCTAGGATAGACAGCCCAGTGCCCTTTTATCCTTAAGACTGTCCAGGTTGGGATCAACATCCAAGTATAGCAGTGTAATTATCAACGTTCCCTGGAAAGATGACATGTATAGAAAAATGTCCTATGGAAATGACCCCCACCCAGCCAGCTACCCTATTATAATGACATTAGTGGATTATTAGTGAAATATCTGTGAATAATTAGTGAACATTATTGAAAAATACTATTTCTTGTAGAGTACAAATAGCTATCTTTAAATTAGTTAACTATCTCTTATGAAGGAAACCATTCGGTTTATTTTAGCTTTCAAATCAAATCACGCAACCAACTTTAAAGTTTTTTCACAAGCTTGAAAACACACAAATATTAAAAGCCACAAAGTGGCTGGGCACAGTGGCTCACACCTGTAATTCCAGCACTTTGGGAGGCCAAGGCAGGTGGATCACTTGAGGTCAGCAGTTCAAGACCAGCCTGGCCAACATGGTGAAACCCCATCTCTACTAAAAGTACAAAAATTAGCCAGGCTGATTACAGGTGGTGGTGTTCACGCCTGTAATCCCAGCTACTGGGAAGGCTGAGGCAGGAGAATCACTTGAACCCAGGAGGCAGAGGTGACAATGAGCCGAGATCACACCTCTGCACTCCAGCCTGGGCTGACAGAGCGAGACTGTCGCAAAAAAAATAAAAATTTTTTAAAAGCCAAAAAGTGTGACTTTTTAAAGAGTTGCCTAGGTTGTTTTTAAAACATATATAAAAAATCTAGGCGGGATGCAGTGGCTCATGCTTGTAATCCCACCACTTTGGGAGGCTGAGGCAGGCAGATTGCTTGAGCCCAAAAGTTGGAGACCAGCCTGAGCAACATGACAAATCCCCATCTCTACAAAAAAATATAAAAATAGGCTCGCTTGTTGGCATGTGCCTGTAGTTGTAGCTACTTGGGAGGCTGAGGTGGGAGGATCACTTGAGCCCAAGAGGCAGAGGTTGCAATGAGCCAAGACTGTGCTGCTGTACTCCAACCTGGGTGACAGACTGAGACCCTGTCTCAAAAAAAAAAAAAAAAAAATATATATATATATATATATATATATATGTAAATATATATGTGTACCTATATATGTCTAGAAAAAATTATTTTTAAAAAATTACCAGGTAATGTCAATAATAGCCATATTCCAGAGGCTTAAGAGAAACTTGGCAACAAATTTACTAACATATATTAGCAAAATCAATCATTATAGCACCAAATAATGAGATCTCAAAATAGCACATGTGAAAGGGCAGTGAGCTGCCTAATCACAACTAATTTCAGGAAGAAGTTCATGGTGCATCTAGGAAAGCATTATTATTTTTGCAATACTTCACTTTTGCAATGTTTTAAAATCTGTTTGTTTTTTTAAACTAGGCAATTGCCACCAGAAAAATCTTAAACAGATGATTAGTTCATAATGTATAACAATAGAGTAAAATGCTTCCTAGCACATAGTTCAACACCAGTGGCTAGTCTCACACAGAAAATTTTCCTAGGCAGGAAACTCAGTGTCTCCTGATTCTTCATTCCTAAACTGTATTCTGCTGATATTGCATGCCCTCTTGTAATTATCATGAGTCCTACACATACAGAACAAGACAGACAAAATCTTCATTGCTGCGGCCCACACCAACATTAGCTTGCCTTACCCTGCTTAATTGGCTCTGATCACTGGGCAGAAACAACTCATTGCTTTTTCCTTTTCACATGCTGACTCAAGTATTCCTGGCATCATTAGTCATGTTTCATAGTGTCTAGAATAAAAACAAACTGACATCCAATTCCAGCAATTATTCCATTTTACACTTTGGAGAAAAGAAGTGATCGACACCTTCCAATCTGCCTAAAATCTCAAGCAGCTAACACTTTTGCAAAACAATTTGACTATGCCACATGCCTGTATCCCCAGCTTCTTGGGAGGCTGAGGCAGGAGGATAGCTTGAGTCCAGGAGTTCAAGGGCAGCCTGGGCAACACAGCAAGACCCCCCCAAATCTCAAAAAAGAAAACAATACAATATGACTAAAAGAAGATTTAAAGTTATGCAAAACATATAATAGACAGTGTCATAATTTTTAAACCAATGAGAAGCTGAAAGATTCTTTTGAAGTTTGCTTATAGACTCCAATTAAGAAATAGAAGTCCTCCTCATGTCTTCTCAATTAAAACCATTCCATTTTCTACTGGCAGAGCATCTGTGGATGAGACAAGCACAGTGCCAGGCACTTGGAAATGTTTGGTGAGTACTGAACGTAAAACATGGAAATGTGGGTTTCTCTAGTAGTGGAGGCAGGAAATCCCCATCAGTAAGGAGTAAAAGCTAATTCCCCTTAGGGCAGTCATTCCTACTTTCTTGGTAGTGCCTGTTAAGTAGAGGCCAGGTGTGGTGGCTCATGTCTGTAATCTCAGCACTTTTGGAGGCCGACACAGGAAGATCGCTTGAGGCCATGAATTCAAGACCAGCCTGGGCAACAAAAAGAAGCCTCCCTTTTTTGTTACAAAAAAATTGTAAAAATGTGCTGGGTGTGGTGGTCTGTGCCTATAGTCCCAGCTGCTACACTTTGAGAGGCTGGGGTGAAAGGATTGTTTGAGCCCAGGAGTTGCAGGCTGCAGTGAGCTATGATCATGCCATTGCACTCCAGCCTAGATGACAGAGCAACACCCTGTCTCTTAAAATAAAATAAAATAAAAAAAGGCCAGGTGCGGTGGCTTATGCCTGTAATCCCAGCACTTTGGGAGGCCAAGGCAGGTGGATCACAAGGTCAGGAGTTTGAGACCAGCCTGGCCAACATGGTGAAACCCCGTCTCTACTAAAAATACAGAAAAATTAGCCAGGCATGGTGGCGCCTGCCTGTAATCCCAGCTACTCAGGAGGCTGAGGCAGAATTGCTTGAACCCGGGAGGCGGAGGTTGCAGTGAGCTGAGATCGCTCCACTGCACTCCAGCCTGGGCGACAGAGCGAGACTTCATCTCAAACAAAACAAAACAAAAAAAGTAGAGAAATCCACATCTAAAAGACAAAACATAATAAAACTGTTGTGTGTGCTAAATACCTTCATTTCTATCACCTAATAGTAGCTATTTTAACTAAGGCAGACATCACCAAAAAAAATTAGCCTTTCAATACTCTCCAGCCTTTACTCTACTGTTGTAGAGAGAATAATGATGCCAAATCCAACATAACTTGACATCAAGAAACGCTTCTACATCAAATGAGTTTCAAAACATCCAGAACACCTGCAGACACATTGCAGGTGTAATGCTACAATAGTAACATGGTTCAACAAGGTCTGGAGGCCTCAAACAGTGAGGATTTTTACTTCTACTTGCCTATCTGCTCAAGATCTTTTTCTCTTTTTTTCTTATGAACTGTTTCTCTCATCGTTCTGTTCCTTCCTTTTCTTTCTTCCAACAGATACCCAAAATGACAGAGTCCATTTGCCAACTCACAGCTAGAGGCAAAGAAATCATTACCCACTCGGAAAAGGGGCCCATAGTTGCATCTGGTGATTATTCTCTATTTCATACGATGCTTTCCCTGAGGCCTCAGTCTTCTACTGAAAATATTTTAATTGTAATTATAAAGTCATGACCATCCACATGTATAGCTGGTTTGCTTCAATTAGAAGTCACTGCAACCAAAAAACAAAGCACTTTCAGTTCCTCACACTCATTGTGTTTAATGTTTCCATTGGTTGAATCTCATGAATGGCTCACTGAATTGAAGAAATGCCCCCAAGTAGGAATTCTAAATTCTGCATCTTCAAAAGATGGTCTTCAAAATCACAGAAAGAAAAGCTGCTGAATTGCAGAATATATACTGCTATTGAAAAGGTTATAAATCTTTTAACTTAAAGAAGGGTAGAATTCTTCACTTAGAAAATTCAGAACAACTTATGTTAATGTTTCATTTGTCTTGAACTAGAAACTGTGAGCATAGTGTTCAACAGATTCAGCTATTCACTTATTCATTGACTTTTATATCTCTGCATATGCTCTTCAGCCTATTATCTGGGGAACTATCAAAGAAAAGTTGTGGCCCAAATGCTGGATTTGCCTGTTCCTCAGTTCATAACAAGTATTTCTCAAATGTAGACCTATAACTATAAACACTTTTAACTTTCCTTGAACCAGAGCATTTAAAAATGCATATAGTCTGTACATTAAATGTGTTCTTAGTGAAGTAAAAGGTGACATCATAGAGTGTTATCTAGTCTGTTGTGATTTTTTTTTTTTTTTTTTTGGAGACAGAGTCTCACTCTGTCACCCAGGCTGGAGTGCAATGGTGCGATCTCGGCCTCGCAGGTTCAAACGATTCTCCCGCCTCAGGCTCCTAAGTAGCTGAGATTACAGGCACCGGCCATCATGCCTGGCTAATTTTTGTATTTTTGTGGAGATGGGGTTTCACCATGTTGTTGGCCAGGCTGGTCTTGAACTCCTGACCTCAGGTGATACGCCCACCTCAGCCTCCCAAAGTGCTAGGATTACAGGCATGAGCCACCACAGCCGGCCTCATGATGTCTTGTATTATCTAGTACTATCATGATTTTCACCTATTGCTTGTTACTTTCATGCAAATTCTAATTGACTTTCAAAGTAAAATCAATAAAAATGACCAGTGTTTATATGACATTTACTATGTGCTGGACCTTAGTCTTTGCTTATATTAACTCATTTAACCCTCCTGACAACCCTATGAAGTGGGTACAGTTATTTCTTCAACGTCCTGGGCGGTGTTCGTTTTCATTTTAAAGTTCCTACTCCTAAACCATACTAACAAAGTTCAAGTAGCAAGATATCAGATTACAAACAACAAGCCAGGCATGGTGGCTCAGGCCTGTAATCCCAGCACTTTGGGAGGCTGAGGTAGGTGGATCACTTGAGGTCAGCAGTTTCACCAACATGGTGAAACCCCATCTCTACTAAAAACACAAAAAGTTAGCCAGGTGTGGTGGCAGACACCTGTAATCCCAGCTACCTGGAAGGCTGAGGCAGGAGGATCACTTGAATCTGTGAGGTGGAGGTTGCAGTGAGCCAAGATTGAGCCTCTGCACTCCAGCCTGGGCGACAGAGCAAGATTCCGTCCTCACCACCCACCCCACACACACACAAAGATTATAAACAACAAAATTAATTCCATGTCCTTATATCATACCAAGGTAACTGCTTTGACACTGCAAATAACCAGTGTGATTGGTAAAATAATTAAATGTATTATTAAATGTATTAATTCTTGGGCTATTTGCCCACAGCAAATTTCCAAGGTTAATCCTACCCTTCATTGTGCATGAGGCAAATACACTCGGATGTATCCAGACAGCAAGTTAGCTATGGTTGAGAGAAAGCAAGAACTGCAGGCAAGAACAAGCCCAAAAACAATCTGTAACCTGATTTTGAAAACTAAATATTAATTTCATCACCTTCTTTACCAAATCTTCTAACAAGTAGCAAGTCAGACTGAAGTTTCTCTCTCTTCCTTCCTCTCCATTCTTTGAGGTGCTAATGAGCAGAAAATGAGAGTCTAAGGCTCAGAATAATCTACAGACTGGAATAATGAGTCTTGGAAAAATTCAAGAGCTGAAAGTGAAGCCTTACTAATTTGCACCATGAAAGAGGCCATTTTTTATGTTAGTGCTGACTGATCCAAATCCAAAATAAAAATACCACCAAATCAATATATAACTCTAGAAAACATGTATTCAAAAGTTTGTCATGATCAAAGCGAACACTGTGATTTATTTGGTATCTATTTATCCCAAAAAAGCTACTACTATTTATCTCTTCTGTTTATCTATGTGAAAATAAATTCCAAATGACTATAACAGGGCATGGTCCATAGTAAGTGCTCAATAAATGTTTACTAAATGAAATGCATGAACGAATCATTAGGCCCCTCAGCATTCTCACTTATCTACTCTGTCTCCAGTCCTCACTCCCTGAAAACCACATTGCACAGAGCCACCAGAGGGATTCTTCTAGAACACAAATATAATCATGCCACTCAACTGTTCGAATCCCGTTCATAGACTTCCCCACACCTCACCAGCAAACTGAAGTTCAAACTCTGTCACAGAGCACCTTTGTTACATCTCCAGCCCATTCTCTCACCACTCTTGGCCTTGGATATATGGCAATAATAGTGAAATTCCCCTTGCCTACATGGTGTTCCCTCCTCCCTTCTGTGAACTGGATGCCTTAGATAACGGTTCTCCTGATAAGTTGTACATAACTTTATAGCTGCACTTAGCTCACCACATTACTATCTGTTTTAATGTCCAACTTTCCTCTCTCACCGAATGTGAACTCTGTAAAGAAAGATTATCTTATTAATCATTGTCCCTCCAGCATCTAAAAGAGTACTCAGCACATAATAGGTACTCGATAAATGTTTGCTGGATGCTTGGATAGATGAATGGATGGGCGAAATTAAATAGTGTTACATCTATCCAAAAGGAAATTCACAGGCAACCATGCTTTTGAGGATGATGATGTTAGGCTTGCCGAGAGGAAAAAATAAACAAATTTAAGCGGCTTGAACAAAACACTCTATTATTAGCAATGATTATAGAATTTATAGTCATCAAGTAAGACAGTACCTGCTGGAACTGTCTCTTAATTTCTCAAGGCAGTGAGGCTTGGATATCCCTGAGAACGAGGCAATGAGGTAGAAGCTATATATTTCTGGGTCCTCTGCCCCATAGGTCGCATTCTGAAAGCAAATCTAAAAATAGCAATGTTTGTTAAAAAAACACAAACTGGTGTCCATACAGTGCCATGTGGGCATACACAGCTTCCACTGAGTGGACCAGGGGAGGGGACTGGCTCAGAGCAACCTCAACCATCACCCAACGGACACACGAGTCCAAGGCCACTCTTGTGGTAGAAGAAAAAGCAAATGACACCTGAGTACCTATTGTACACGTGGCTGATACTACAGAAACTACTATATAATTAGAATTTTTGGTTTGTGTCTTAATTGAGGCAGCCACCTTTGACACAGGTGCTGGCTATTGGTGGCCACAGAGGGATCTGAGCATCAACGCTGGCAAAACCAACAAAACGTGCTGTTGCTGCGTGTGAGCTGTGTTGGCAATGGTGCCAGTAATGTCCCACCGTGCTATTCTCCTGTGCCTCAGGCTCTGTCCTCAAATAAAGCATTGAGGCAATTGGGCTTTCTTTCTTGAAAACAAACATTCTGAAATTTCATGTCTTAAAAACCAGCCGGGCGCGGTGGCTCACGCCTGTAATCCCAGCACTTTAGGAGGCCAAGGTGGGCGGAGCGCTTGAGGTCAGGAGTTCGAGACCTGCCTGGCAAACATGTGAAACCCCATGTCTACTAAAAATACAAAAATTACCCGGGGATGGTGGCAAATGCCTGTAATCCCAGCTACTCAGGAGGCTGAGGCAGGGAGAATTGCTTGAACCCAGGAGGTGGAGGTTGCAGTGAGCCAAGATCACACCACTGCACTCTAGCCTGGGCGACAGAGCGAGACTCCACCTCAAAAATTAAATAAATAAATAAATAAAATGTAGATGGGAAGTTTATTATCCTATTCTATTTTTGCATGTATTTAAAAGTTCCCATAATTATTTGTTCTCAAGAAGTTTTGCATAATACAAAGTTTTAAAAATATACAAGCCATAATTTTGTTTTAAAAAATATGAAACATTTCACAAATTTGCATGTCATCCTTCGACAGGGGCCATGTTAATGTCTTTATTGTTCTAGTTTTAGTATATGTACTACCAAAGCAAGAACCACAGTTTTTCTATTTCAAGATATTAATGTCAAGGTAATCAGGACACAAAAAGCAAATCAAGGTTATCAAGATTATCTTACTAAAGGGAAAATACCAAAATACTAATACCAGTAATTTAAACATAGATTTTGTCCAATCTGGCATAAAGTATTTCAATTAATGTCACCAGAAGGACATTACCCTCTTCTCTATGGATTGTTATATGTTTATGGAAATTATTTGTATCTTTAAAATATATTATTTTTGTTTTTCACTTCAAAAAAACTTTAGAATGGCACCATTCTTCCTTCTACATCTATGTACATTTGAAACCTTATAAAGACATTTCTTGGCACCCTCAAAAACCACCATCCGAGCCTACCTTATTCCCAACAACAGACCCACTTTCTCATGCCACTACCCAAGTTAGGGAACAATCTTCTATGTTTTCTGTGACACTGTGACATTTAAATGTCCTCATGGCTCCTGAGGTACCCACTACCAGACTCATCAGAACCTGTCCAATCAAATCACCCCATAGTACTCAACCCAACCCACTCCTCAGGGCCAGAGAAGTCCACATTCTGCCCTCATTTGGACTTCAGAACCTCTCTCTTTCACAGACTGCCCTCCCTCACCCCCATCCAACTCCACTGTGATTTTATGATATAATAAGAAATATAAGGCCAGGCATTGTGGCTCATGCCTGTAATCCCAGCACTTTGGGAGGCCCAGGCAGGCAGATCACTTGTGAGAGGTGAAGCCAGCTGAACTTCCTGGGTCGAGTGGGGACTTGGAGAACTTTTCTGTCTAGGTAGAGAATTGTAAACGCACCAATCAGCGCCCTGTGTCTAGCTAAAGGATTGTAAATGCATCAATCAGCACTCTGTAAAAATGCACCAATGAGCGCCCTGTGTCTTGCCAAAGGATTGTAAATGCACCAATCAGCACTCTGTAAAAACGCACCAATCAGCACTCTGTGTCTAAAGGATTGTAAATGCACCAATCAGCACTCTGTAAAATGTACCAATCAGCAGGACATAGGCGGGGACAAATAAGGGAATAAAAGCTGGCCACCCCCAGCCAACAGCAGCAACCCACTCGGGTCCCCTTCCACACTGTGGAAGCTTTGTTCTTTCGCTCTTCACAATAAATCTTGCTGCTGCTCACTCTTTGGCTCCGTGCCACCTTTAAGAGCTGTAACACTCACCGCAAAGGTCCGCGGCTTCATTCTTGAAGTCAGTGAGACCAAGAACCCACTGGAAGGAACCAACTCCGGACACAACTGGAGTCAGGAGTTTAAGACCAGCCTGGCCAACATGATGAAACCCCATCTCTACTAAAAATACAAAAATTAGCCAGACGTGGTGACGTACACCTGTAATCCCAGCTACTCAGGAGACTGAGGCATGAGAATCGCTTTAACCAGAAAGGCGGAGGTTGCAATGAGCTGAGATTGAGCCACTGCACTCCAGCCTGGGTGACAGAGTGAGACTCTGTCTTAAAAAAATAAAAATAAGTTCTTCATTCCCAGTTCCTAGCACAGAGTTTCTAAAACCTTTGGAATCTCCTGGGCAATAGGAATGAGAAGAGTGTCTCTTGTTCATTATTATAGCCCATTTTCAATCATACTTGAGTTTAGGCAAATGTGATGACTCTTGGTGGGCCCCTAGAGAGCTTCAGGATGAGGGCTGGTGGTTGCCAGGGGAACCAACCACGAAATTTGAGGAATGAACTTTCAGCCCCTGCCCCATTTCTGGGGAGGGAAGAAGGGATGGAGATTGAACTAATCACCAATGACCAGTGATGTAGTCAACCATGACTATGTAATGGAAACGCCATAAAACCTCTAAGTTAAAGAGTTCAAAGAGCTTCTGGATTGGTGAACACACAAAGGTGCTAGGAGGGTGGGCATCTAGAGAGGGCAATGCCCTTCCTCTATACCTTGTCCTGTGCATGTCTTCCATTTGGCTGTTCCTGGGTTGTAACTTCTATAACAAACCAGTAATAGGAAGTAAAGTGACTTCGTGAGTTCTGTGAGCCTTTATAGAGAATTACTGAACCCAAAGAGTGGGGCTCATAGAAACTCAAGATTTATCATCTCTTGGTCAGAAGTATAGGAGACCTGGACTTACAACTGGCATCTAAAGTGGAGAAGAGTCTTGTGGGTCTAAGCCCATAATCTGTGGGGTCTGTGCTAACTCTGGGTAGTGTCAGAGTCGAAGAATTGGTTGTTGGTGTGGAAAAAATCCAGCCATTTGTGTCAGAAGTGTTGTGAGTAGAAACAGATCACAGACCCACCCAATGTGCAAGGGCCAGAATGGCTTAGGTCTAAAGGAAAACATTCTAGAAGAGCTGTTAGACTTAGGTGACACAATTTTTTATAACTGCCTATTTCAATACTATTAAGAGATAACCTTCTGCAATTTGGTGGTGCTTGTTTATAATTTGATAGGCAGAACTCAAAGAAATTCAAAAACTGAATTAAGGTGACTAAGTGAAAATTTTAAAGGGCAGGAAAACACAACCTCTGGAATCAAGACTAGGAATTTTGGCAACTAAGTTATCAAAATATTCTCACCATTTATAAATTCTAGCAGACTTTCTCTAACAATACAACAATAAAGAGAAACGAAAATATAGCAGTCCTAACACACATATAGTAGAAAGAGAAAAAAAGATAGGTGTACCCTCAAAAAGTCCCTTTTCCAATGCAGGTTTCTTGCTACTTTAGAGCAAATATTTCATGTGGTCCAAGGCATGAGTCCACATCTGGCAAAAAAGAGTACACAGTCTAGACTGTGGCTCCTTAAAGGAAAAATGCGTGTCTAAGTTATTTGTAAATTTCCAATGACCTACACAGTGCCTGGTGCAAAGAAAACAATAAATGGTTGATTAATAAAGACAGGCCTGTTGTGAACCAAGTCCTTAGATTTTAAAAAGGAAGAACTATCAATAAAGATATTTGGGATTTATTTACAAATTCATATCAAACATGAAATCTAATTCAAACAATAGGAGGTATAAGTTTTTTTTAGTTTTTTGTAGAGTTCATTATCTGGAAATTTTGTAATTCCTGTAATTTTCCATTTACCTTCCCAACCCAACAAAATCTCTTTCTATTTCCTTGACGGCAAGGGTCAGCAAACCACTCCAGAGAGCCAAATCTGACCCACTGTCTATTGCTTTAAATAAAGTTTTAATGCAAAATAACCACCTCCATCAGTTTGTATACTTTCTATGGCTGCTTTCACACTACCATGGCAGAACTGAGTATCTACAACAGAGAATCGGCCTGCAAGCCTAAAATATTTGCTATCTGGCCCTTTAGAGTAAAAGTTTGGTGACTTCTGCTTTAGAGTATCATATAATACTAAATACCCAATAAAATACTGTGTTTTTAAAATAACGTCGGAGATTTACTAAGCTAAAGTTATTTACAAGATAATTAAATATGCTATTCACTTTTGGTCCATATGGCTTTATTTACATCCTCACAATTAAAATCTCCCAAAGACACAGCTTTAGAAGAATAGAAGCCTAATGATAAAGAAAATCCTTTCTTGCCACCTAATTTATGCCATGATCTACTATGCCTTTGAGAGTCCTTAAAGAGCAGAATAAATTCCATGGAGGTAAGAAAAGGAAAGAAAAAAAGTGCATAAAGAAGTTCAAAAGAAATGTAAGGCTATACAAAGTAGAACCAGGGTACAGGGTCACACATACAACATCTTGATCACTTCACATATTGAGTAAATGTGGTATTTAACAAAATGAGTTACAAGTAATGTTAAAGAAAAAGAAATGGCAGAAAAAGCAAGTGAGCCTTTTGGTTTACTTAACCAGGCTAAAAGGCTATTCACAGAAAAGTGCCCTTTTGGAAATATAGCAATCCCGGCCCCTGAGGAGACTCAAGGAAGGCAATGTGAAGAGATCAAAGGCATTTCACCCTGACCTGTACCCATTTCACCAGAAGGTTCATTCCATCCACCTTTTAGTGATCAGAAAGAAGCAAAGCCCTGGAGCCACCTCAAGACACACAGCCTGACTACCTCTGCTCAATGCAAAAAGCTCTCTGGCCAGCTGAGAGGTCTCACCATCCTCTGAAAGAATCTTGTTTTTTCCTACCAAACCCAAACCCCTCCTTCTTCCATCTATCCAAATTCTACACATCCTTCATGGTCACATTCAAAATTCCAAGCAGTGCAACTGTACTACTCCAGAGGGACCCATTCTCAAAGATGATGTAAATGGTGTTCCCTGGCATTGTACAACACAGTGGCCCCAATCCCAACTCCTCAAGAAAGTCTCTCCCAACACATCACAGCAGGCTGACATCCCCCTTTCTTTCCTCAATATGTATCTTATGGCCCTACTGGACTGTAAGCTCCTAGAAGATAGGACAATATATACCTCTTTAATACAAAGCTAATAATGGCATGAACACCAAATAGCACCTACTGAGTCAAACTTTGTGCTAAATGCTTTGTATGCATTATCTTATTTAAGTCTCAAAATAATCTTATGGGTATGTGTGACCACCATTATTTTAGTTTTACAGATGAGAAAACCGAGATTTAAAGTTTTAAATTTGCTGTGGTCCATACAACCAGAAAATGACTGAGCCAGGAGTCTGACCAAGGTCTGTCTGGTTCCAAGAATAGTGTCCCTAAATTGTACACTAACTCTCACCCCAAAGGTACCCAATAACACCTGTTTTTTTTTTTTTAATCCCCAAGAGAGTGGATTGGAGGCACTGTGAGCATGCCTCTACCACTTGGAAAGACAAAATAGTGTGGAGAGATTCACACTGTGAATTTTTTTTTCAGGAAAAAACCCAGAAACTTACTACGAGGCAGATGGAAAACTCTAAGTCCCTAGAGTGTGAGAGGAGGATAAACTACCTCTAGGATATGCACTCCTACTGGGGAACCTGGCAATCCAGGCCACAAGGGAAGCCCTCAACCCTACCCAGCACTAAAGCTGATTCAGTGAGCCGTGGGGAGTATATGAGAAGGAGTAGCACTGGACATGCTTTCAGTGCACTCCCAGTCTCCAGCAAGGACAGAGGGAAGCCACTGCTGATCCTACCTCACAGGGGACCTTGTGGAAGTCAGCCAGCTAACTCAGACAGCAATCACAGGTTGAGAGAAGCTCAACTGAGATTCACGATATGAGTGGGAACAAGCTCCCTTGGCCAGAACTGAGGGGCAAGTGGGAAGTGTGCTGCAGCCATAAGAGAGCACAGGGGTGCCCCTGCTGTGTAGGGAGACCAAGAGAAATGTGGCCTGAAGGCCATGCAAAGGCTAATGGCCTGGGGCAGTTTTGAGTTCTGAGTGTCAACTGTCTGAAACCCAGCTAGCTGCTGCTAGTGGTACACTGTGGCTATGAGATTTGCCTTGCCAAGTGCATGAAAGCTGCGTAGGGCTTGCTGCTACCTGCTACTCCCCATTCTCCATGCAGACTCTTTGGTGCAGCAGAAGCAGCTGTGCTTTTTCCTTCAATATACCCCAGCAGTCAGAAAACTGCCTTCTGATCCCCACTGGGACCTCTACTTTTGCCCACATATGGAGAGCTAGAGCACAGACTTGCCTGACCCAGCCCTCACCTGGCTTTGCCCCTCAATCCTACCCTGGTAGCTTAATAAAAAGAACAGAAACTTTTCGGAGCTCTATAGCCCCACCAATTGCCTGAGACACCAGAGTACTTCCCCTGGGTACATAAGGCAAAGCATAAATCCTACCACCACCACAGCTGGTACTCTTTTGCAAGCACCACCTTCTGGTTGGAGGCCAACTGACATAGGAGATTAGCATCTTCAGGCAGAAGAAGACAACATGCAGGAAGGAGAAAAGTCATGTGTGACCTCAGCAATCACTATTGCCTGCAACACCCTGGCTAACCAAGAGATCCTGAGTCTGTCCATGTGACCAGTTCATCTACTACTACAACCAGTACTTGAGAAAACCAACACACTAAGGCTTTTCATGACCAAGGAATCTCACAGCACTCCCCTGCCATCCCCATCAGAACTGGTGCTGGTACCCACTGCTGGGATACTTGAGGACAGGTCACATCACTGGATTCCTTGGAGACATCCCCCAGCACCACCCTGGAGTGTGGCAGCCCCACTAGGCAGCTAGACCCAGATAAGAGTTGCATTCACAGTAGTCTGGACTTCAGGGATTTCTACTCCTAAGGGAAGAAGAAGTACATGACATCAAGGGAGCACTCCATGAAACAAAAAACACAAGATGGCAGGCCTTAAGTCCCAGAACTTCCCATTTCTGGGAAGTTTCTTTTAGCAGAGGCACAGTTGCAATGCTTGGCTCAGCAGAAAACGTCTGTGGCTCTACCCCAACAGCCAGTCAGCCCTGGTGCCCATGAAGGGTCTTGGAGAAGGTGATTTCTTCTCCTCTTCATCCACTATCGACATAGCTGAGGCTTCCCCCATGGGAGCTCAGCATGGATGCACCTGTAGACAGCCTTTCTGGAATACTTCAGGGTAACTGCATCCACAGAGAATGCATGTCCCCTAGGTTCAAGCTTGGATGAGGGGTACAGTCACAATCCCTTTCTATGTTGAACATCAACATTCCTGCAGATGAAAAGAGGTGCCTGATCAGAATAGCTGGAACTCTGGGTCAGGAGTGTAATTGGAAGGTGGATCACTTTCCTGCTGGCCTAGCAGGGAAGCTGAGGTGGCTTCTTCCCTTTCCCTTGAAAAGACCTCAGTGCATTTCACTGAGAGCTGCCCCAGCTGCTTCTATCAAGGCTGGGACCTCTGCCCACCACTGAGTATTGCATTTACCAACCTGCTTTAGCCACAACTGATTTTTACCCATGGACATCTCTCCTACTGGCCTGAAGCCTAAGCTGTTCAACTCAGTAAATAAAATACTGCAGAAAAAAATTAATTAATTAAAAAGTGCAATGAGATAAGCTTTAAGAGACCTCGCAATTCCAATCCCACAGGAGACAATGAACCTGCTCACAAACCAAGCACTATGCTACTACAACCAGCATCTAAGAAAGCTGTCATACAAAGACTCTCTATAACCAAGGAAGTCATACACAGTCTTCATCCCTGAAAGCACCAAGAGCTGAATTAGCCTACAATAAACGATAAAGTCACATCCTCAAGGGAGAAAAAAAATTTTTAAGTCAAATCAAAAATAAATTCAAGAATAATTAGAATAGCCTACCCAAATTAGAGGGAACTAGAAAAATAATTCTGGCAGCCAGATACGGTGGCTCATGCCTATAATCCCAGCACTTTGGGAGGCTGAGGCAGACAGATCACCTGAGGTAGGAAGTTCGAGATCAGCCTGGCCAACATGGTGAAACCCCATCTCTATTAAAAATACAAAAATTAGCTGGGCATGGTGGTGGGCACCGTAAGCCCAGCTACTCGCAAGGCTGAGGCAGCAGAATCCCTTGAACCCAGGAGGCAGAGGTTGCAGTGAGCCAAGATCGTGCCATTGCACTCCAGCCTGGGTGACAAGAACAAAACTCCATCTCAAAAAATAATAATAATAATTCTGGCAATATGACAAAACGGGGTTCTATAACAACCCCAAAAGATCACACTAGCTCTTCTGCAATGGATCCAAACCAAGATGAAATCTTTGAAATACCAGATAAAGAATTCAAAAGGTGGACTATTAAAGCTGTTCAAGGAAATACAAGACAGAGGTAAAAATCAGCATAAAGAAATTGAAAAAACAATTCACAGTATGAACAAAAAATTTTCTAAAGAGACAGATATTCTGAAGAAAAACCAATCCGAACTTCTGGAAATTAAAGATACACTTAGGAAATTGCAAAATATAGTAGAAAGTTTTAACGCTAGACTAGAACAAGTAGAAAAAAGAATTTCAGAGCTTGAAGATAAGCCTTTCAAATTAACCCAGACAAAAATAAAGAAGAATTAAAAGAAATGAACAAAGTCTCCAAGAAATATGAGATTATGTAAAACAGTCAAGCCTTAGAATCAATGGTGTTACTGAAGGAGAAGAGAAAGCAAAAAATTTGGGAAACTTATTTGAGAAAATAGGTGAGAAAAATTTCCCTGGCCTTGCTGGAGATTTAGGTAACCAAATGCAAGAAGCATAAATAATTCCTGGGAGATTCACTGCAAAAAGGACACCATCAAGGCATACAGTCATCAGGCTATCTAAAGTAAACATGAAGGAAAGAATTCTAAGAGTAGTGAGACAAAAGTATCAGGTAACCTACAGGGGAAAACATACCAGACTAACAGCAGACTTCTCCGCAGAAACCTTACAAGCCAGAAGGGATTGGAGTCCTATCTTTAGCCTCTTCAAACAGAATAACTGTCAGCCAATCATTTTTTATCCAGCAAGACTAAGTGTTACAAATGAAGGAGTCTTTTTCAGAGAAGCAAATGCTGAGGGAATGTGTCACTACCAGACCAACCCTACAAGAAATACTAAAAGGAGTTATTAATCTTGAATCAAAAGGTTGATATGCACCAGAATAGAACCTCTAGAAAGCATAAAACTTATAGGACTTATCAACAATAATACAATGAAGAAAACTAAGTACCTATGTAACAATCAACATAACTGAACAGTACCTTGCATCTTGAGATTAAATACTCCATTTAAAAGATATACTTTGGCAGAATGGATAAAAAGTTACAAATCGAATATCTGCTGTCTTCAAGAGAATCACCTAACATGAAAGGATTCTTATAGACTCCAGGTAAAGTGGTGGAAAAAGATATTCCATGTAAATGAGAACCAAAAGTGAGCAGGAAAAGCTATGCCTACATCAGATAAAACAGACTTTAAAACAACAACAGTAAAAAAAGACAAAAAATGCCATTATATAATAATAAAAGGATCAATCGAACAAGATGATATTACAATCCTAGATATACATGCACCTAAGTCTTGAACTCCAGATTCATAAAACAATTACTACACGACCTAAGAAAAGAAATAGCAACACAATAATAGTGCAGACTTCAATACTCCTCTAACAGCACCACACAGATCATCAAGGAAGAAAGTCAACTAAGAAACATCAACCTTAAACTATACTCTAGAACAAATGGACCTAATATAGTCACAGAATATCCCACCCAAGAACTGCAAAATATACGTTCTTCTCATCAGAACATGGACCATTCTCCAAGACACATCATATGATAGGCCACAAAACAAGCCTTGATAAATTTTAAAAAATCAAAATCATACCAAGTATCTTCTCAGACCACAGTGGAATAAAACTAGAAATCATCTCCAAAAGGAATTCCCAAAACTATACAAATACATAGAAATTAACCTACTCCTGTATGACTTTTAGGTGAACAATGAAATCAAGATGGATATTAAGAAATATTTCAAAATGAATAATAGTGATACACATCATCAAAACCTCTGGGATACAGCAAGAGCAGTGCTATGAGTTAAGTTTATAGCACTAAATGCCTACATCAAAAAGTATGAAAGATCACAAACTTACAATCTAACATCATACCTCAAGGAGCTAGAGAAACAAGAACAAACCAAACCCAAAGCTAGCAGAATGAAAGAAATAACAAAGACCTTTTCATTAGAGCAGAACTAAATGAAACTGAAACAAACAAACAAAAAATACATCAAGGAAACGAAAGCTTGGTTTTTTGAAAAGATAAACAAAATCGATAGATGATTAGCTAGATTAACCAGGAAAAGATTCAAGTAAGCTCAATTAGAAATGAAAATGGAGGCCGGGCACAGTGGCTCAGGCCTGTAATCCCAGCATTTGGGAGGCTGAGGCAGACGGATCACGAGGTCAGGAGATCGAGACCATTCTGGCCAACATGGTGAAACCCCACGTCTACTAAAAATACAAAAAAATTAGCCAGGCATAGTGGCGCATGCCTGTAATCCCAGCTACTCGGAAGGCTGAGGCAGGAGAATCGCTTGAACCAGGGAGGTGGAGGTTGCAGTGAGCCATGATCGCACCACTGCACTTCAGCCTGGTGATAAAGCGAGACTCTGTCAAAAAAAAAAAAAAGAGAGAGAGAGAGATGAAAATTGAGACATTATAACCAAAAGAAATACAAAAGATCATTCAAGACTGCTATGAACACCTCCATGCAAACAAACTAGAAAATCTACAGGAAATGGACAAATTCCTGGAAACATACAATCTTCCTAGCTTGAATCAGGAAGAAATAGAAATCCTGAACAGACCAAAAAAAAAAAAAAAAAGCCGAAGGCCAGATAGATTCACAGCTGAATTGTACCAGACATTCAAAGAAAAATTGGTACCAATCTGCTGAAACTATTCCAAAAGGTTGAGAAAGAGGGCATCCTCTATAACTTATTCTATGACACCAATATCACCCTGATACCAAAACCAGGAAAGGATATAACAGAAAAAAAAAAGACAAAGAAAACTACAGAACAATACCCTTGAATCAACAAAGATGTAAAAATCCTCAACAAAATACTAGCAAACTGAATCCAACAGCACATCAAAAAGATAATTCACCATGATCAAGTGGGTTTCATCCAGGATGTAGGGATGATTTAACAAATGCAAGTCAATAAATGTGAAACATCATATAAACAGAATTTTTTAAAAACACAAAAATCTATTGATCATCTTAATAGATGCAGAAAAAGCATTCGATAAAATCCAGCATCCCTTTATGATAAAAATTCTCAACAAACTAGGGATAGAAGGAATATAGTTCAAAATAATAAAAGCCATGTATGACAGACTCACAGCCAACATCATACTGAAGGGGAAAAGTTGAAACCATTGCCCTTCAGAACTGGAACAAGACAAGGATGCCCACTTTCACTACTTCTATTCAACATAGCACCAGGAGCCCTAGTCAGAGCAATCAGGCAAGAGAGAAAAATAAAGGGTATCCAAATTGGAAAAGAGTAAATTACACTATCTCTGTTTGCCAGTGGTATGATTATATACCTAGAAAACCCTAAAGACTCCTCCAAAAGACTCCTAGATTTGATAAATGAACTCAGTGAAGTCTCAGGTTACAAAATCAATGTACACAAATCAGTAGTACTGCCATACACCAACAACAATCAAATTCAGAATCAAATCAAGAACTCAATCCCTTTTATAATAACAGCAAAAATAAAATAAATTACCTAGAAATATACTTAACAAGGAGGTGAAAAATCTCTTCAAGAACGACAAAACACTGCTGAAGGAAATCAAAGATAATACAAACAAATGGAAAAAATATCCCATCCTCATGAATTGGAAGAATCAATTTCATGAAAATGGCCATACTACCCAAAGCAATCTAGAGATTCAATGCAACTTCTATCAAAATACTAACATCATTTTTCACAGAATTAGAAAAAAAAATTCATATGGAACCAAAAAGAACCTGAATAGCCAAAACAATCCTAAGCAAAAAGAACAAACATGAAGGCATCACATTACCTAACTTCAAATTATACTACAAGGTTATAGTTACCAAAACAGCACGGTATAGGTATAAAAGTAGATACATAGACCAATGTAACAGAACAGAGAACACAGTAATAAAACCAAATACTTACAACCACAATTGATCTTTGACAAAGTATACAAAAACATAAATTGGAGAAAGGACACCATATTCAACAAATGGTGCTGAAAAAACTGGATAGCCACATGTATAAGAATGAAACTGGATCCCTATCTCTCACCATATACAAAAATCAACTCAAGATGGATCAAAGACTTACATCTAAGAGCTGAAACCAATTACAGTAGACAACCTAGGAAAAACTTCTGGACATTGGTCTAGGTAAAGAATTTATGACTAAGACCCCAAAAGCAAATGCAAGAAAAACAAAAATAAATAAATAGAACCTAATTAAACTAAAAAGCTTCTGCACAGCAAATCACCATCAGAGTAAACAGATGACCCACAGAGTAGGAGAAAATATTTGCAAACTATGCATCCTACAAAGAACTAATACCCACAATCTACAAGTAACTCAAATAAATTAGCAAGAAAACAAACCAAATAATCCCATCAAAAAGTGGGCAAATGACATGAATAGACATTTCTCAAAAGAAGATATACAAATGGCCAACAAATATACAAAACAATGTTCAACATCACTGATCATCAGGGAAATGCAAATTAAAACCACAACAAGATACCACCTTACCCCAGCCAGAATGGCCATTACTAAAAAGGTAAAATACAATAGATGTTGGCATGGATGTGGTAAAAAGAGAACACTTACTTATACACTGCTGGTGGGAATGTAAATTAGTACAACCTCTATGGAAAACAGCATGAAGATTCCTTAAAGAACTGAAAGTAAAGATACCATTCCATCCAGCAATCTCACTACTGGGCAACTACTAAAAGGAAAAGAGGTAATTCTATCAAAAAGACACGTGCACACATCACAGCACCATTCACAATTGCAAAGATACAGAACCAACCTAAGTGCCCATCAACTGATGAATGGATAAAGAAAATGTGGTCTATATACACTATGGAATACTACTCAGACATAAAACAGAATGAAATATCTTTCACAGCAATTTGGATGGAGCTGGAGGCCATTATTCTACGTGAAGTAACTCAGGAATGGAAAACCAAATACCGTATGTTCTCACTTATAAGTGGGAGCTAAACTATGGGTACACAAAAGCATACAGAGTCATTTAGCGAACTTTGGTGACTCAGAAGAGGGGAGGGGAGGAGAGAGATGAGGGATAAAAAAAAGCTACATATTGGGTACAATATACACAGATGATGGGTGCACTAAAATCGCAGACTTCACCACTATACAATTTGTCCGTGTAACCAAAAACCATTTGTACCTCAAAAGCTATTGAAATTTTACATATATATATATCAACTAAAAAAAAAATATGTTTAGTGAATGAAACTCCTGGTTCAACCTACAGTTGGTCCTTTAGACTTTCCACTTCCTAAGTGAGAATAGCTCTCAGGGTGGAAGAGCTACGAGGCAGACAAACCCCATAGTGCTACTCTATCATCCCACACAAATGCAGGGGCTGTATGACTCCGTCGGGGCAGTACAAAAGACAAAATATTCCTGTCCTTTGCTCTTAAGAGCAAGCACATCATGGCAGACAGTTTACAATTATTTTCCACGTCTTCTTTACTAGCCAGGCCATTCATGTCTTTATATTTGACAACTGGCTACACACCCTCAAAAATAAACACAGTGATGGAAAGGTTGCTCTGTTCCCTGCTAATACATGTGTAATAAAGCTACTCTTGCAGATGCTTGGCGCTGTGGTCAAAAGGAGCACCTTCCCCCGCCTACCCCCATAAAGATGAAGGTCTTGAATAAAATAGAAGCCACACAGAGTCCAGTTCTGAAATGAAAATATCACACTCATAAAAGCATTAAGAAGGTTCCCTATTGAGCTGGTTTCAAATGTTTAATTACTGTAATTATATGCATACATACTTTATCACTGTTTTCTAATGAGGTTGGCAAGGAGACAGAAACTTGGCATTTTATTCCTAGTTTAATGCGCTTGTTTTTATGCTTACTGTAACAGCTTGCTAGAAGAGCACTGGAGATAGAGTCGGATACGCTTTAAAGGACAAGGGAAAACAGCTCCCAGTGGATGGTACACACATGGCAAAAGGCCAAGAGTAGAAGCACCGTCATTAGGAAAAGGAATCAGCCAAGGTAAGCAACGTCATTCACAAACAGAAAAACCTGGACTGCAACCTACCTACCTTCTCTCCTCACTTCAAATAAGACTTTGAGCTTTAAAAACAAAGAGCGTGGCTGGAAGGGGGAGCCACAGCTGCTTAATCTGAAAGCACCTTTCAGTTTCTTCACAAAAGTTTCCAAGTCAAGGGGAAAATTCAACACCCAAACACACAAAGCAAGCTCCAGAGGCAAATGTGGGCACTTCTGAGAGCAGCAGTACTCCAGGGTTGGTTCCTAGCCTACGAGAGTTCTGGTGAAAGAGGCTACTGTGAACCAAAGGCCCAGCCTTCCTGCAGGGGAGGAAAGTCAGCAGTTTACTTGGGAATTTGCCACCTCGATACATAGCAAGTGAGGAAGTGGTGAGAGGTGGCAGATGGAAAGGGGTAAGGGGGGCGAGGGGCACAAGCTAGATCCAGACAGCTGTGGTGTTATAAAAATGTAGCAGCCAAGCAATGTGGAAACGGGAGTCTTAAGCATCTGATTAACTGAGAAGCAGCTGTGGTAATTTCTGGACTAGCTTTAAAAAAAAAAAAAAAAAACAAAATACAGCATTGCATTCAACTGTTAAGCTGACTGCAAGAGCGATCAATGGGTTGAGAATTAAACTAAAGCTCGAGACACTGAGCCTTGCTCTAATGGTGTCGATGGCACAGGGCCATGCTACGGGGTAAAACCAGGTTATGATGAGTTCCCCGTCTGGGACTTCCAAGAAGCGTTCCCTAGAACAGGATCCAAGACAGATCCACCCAATATTTAAATCCAGTCTTTAACAAAGGCCCTGTATAGACACCAGACTAACTAATTTGAGCCTAAAAGGAGACTCCTAAAAGTTCAGATAAACTTAGTTACTTACACTCCTCTATTACAGCAGAAATAGACATGTGATCTAATCATGTAAGGGGTTTTAAATTCAGCCAAAATAACTGGCAAATTTTCCTTGCTAAAATGGCAAAAACGAACCCTCCTAACAGAATTGCTCCACTGTAATTATTTACAGTAAATCAATAAGTACATCATTCTATATAACATACTGATCAATACAACACATTTTGACCAATTAAAGATTTTACTCAAAAAACATGAGTCTGGGACAAGGAAGAATATACATACATGAGGCCATTTATCACATTAAAATATATAAAGCAAGAGTGTAGACATGTAAAATCTCATTAATTCCACATCTAAATATTTCAACCATTTCTGAAAGGTAGACAAGAGGACTCCAGAGTAAAGAGTACAGGACTTAACCATTTTAGTAGAGATTTTAGGGTGATTCACAGAACTGCCAATCAGGTGGGTCTTATGTTATTGGTTATATCATAATCATCTGGGGTTCTATGAGATTCCTGAGTAATGTCTGTTTTGTCTCCCTAAATTGAATGTATGTCTTTGGTTTCATTTGAAAACATTGATCTGTATGTAGCTGGTGCTTATCAGGAGGTGTTAGCTGTCTGTTCAATGTGCTCTAAGAGTGATGTACTGGGCTAATTTAACTCAAATAGCTTTATAATTCTGTCACAACCTCTCTGCAGCCGCCTACTTTTCCTAGGGCAGGGAAATGGAAATCATTTTAAGAAACGGAAAAAGTGTGGTTTAAGTAATTCAGCTTAGCTTATTTCCCTTGGGAAAAGGACAGTTAACAACTACTCTCAGAAACTAAGTAAGTCGTGTCTGACCTCTATTAGTTATTTAAATTTAGCCATACCTTTAACTAATAAAGAGAAGGTGTCCTAGTCAACTCCAGTAAGGATCAGGGTTCTCTGCTTCTGGCATACCAACTGATTTGAACTCTGAATTTCTCTCAGAGTTGTGCTCAGAATTTTACTGATAGTTCAGCTGACGTGGAAAGGTCTGAATGCAGCCGGGTGCGGTGGCTCACGCCTGTAATCCCAACACTTTGGGAGGTCAAGGCAGGCAGATCACTTGAGGTCAGGAGTTTGTGACCAGCCTGGCCAACATGGGGAAACCTCATTTCTACTAAAAATGCAAAAATCAGCCGGGTATGGTGGCATGTGCCTGTAAATCCCAGCTATTCGGGAGACTGAGGCAGGAAAATCATTTGAACCTGGGAGGCAGAAGCTGCAGTGAGCCGAGATCATGCCACTGCACTCCAGCCTAGGCGACAGACCGAGGCTCCGTCGGGGTTTGGGGGAGAGTCTGAATGCAGCACAGGAGAGGTGGTCTGTAGATAATGAAGCCAAGTGTGGGCTGTTTGGAAGTCAAGTGTTCACACATGGGAACCTGTCTCAAAATATGAATTACTTCCTTACTGCATTAATATTCTCCCTCCTTAACTCTTCCCTCTCCAAGTCTTACCCTCCTTACCTTCCTCTTCAAGCCTTAACAGGACTGAGTACCAGCAAGGGCACACACAGCCACATCACACACAGCTGAGTGTTCTGGGGGCACTGGTGATGTTGGTTTGCTAGCTCTCCCCTAGGAGGTCCTTCCAGACACAGCAGCAACCCCCACACTTCCTGCTCCTCAATGGCAGCCACCCTCCAAACCACTCCCAAACCCCAAATCAGCCCCAAGGAGACCAGGTCTTCACCCCACTCAGCAGCTTACATCCCACTTGACCAAACTGTCAATGACAACATTGCTTTGTTTGTTTTTTAACCAGCATCTATAGGGATACCCTCAGAATTCTTAGCACTAACAAAAAGAGCTCCAAATAGAGAAATTGAAACCAAAAGTTTACATCACAGATCCCCCTTCCACCAAAAAAGTAAATGTTATGCAGCACTAAACCACACCCCCCACATCAAAACTGCAGCACAAGCTTTCCGAACATTTGAGAGAAACCAATTTTCACAGTAGCAGCCAACATGTGAAAATACTTTTATTGCAAAATTGAAGAGTATAGTTCAGCAAATGCATACTGGAATGCTACTATGAGTAACTGCACAGGTGGTTATGCAAACACTGAACTCATGCTTCAATTTGGCAGAAGTATAAACATTTCTAGAATAGTACACAAGGTTCAGTTACCTAGATCTGCTAGTTAACTTCCTTTACCTCTGAAAGAGCTCCCCCAAAGTCAATCATTTTCCAAAAGAAAAGTCATAGTTAGAAATACATTTTAAGTAGGCAAGAAAAGAACACACTTATATTAAACTGACACAACCATTTTTAAATGAGCATCTTACCAGGGGCCAACCTGTACAGACATGATTATTCTCTTGTGTCCTGTAAGAGGGTGCTGTTACTTAACTTAATTCATACAAATCTTTAATCTTGAAAACTTTCATTTACTTGTATAATGTATAATGAGATCTAGTATGTGCCAGGCACTATTCTAAAAGGTTGGATATACAGCAGTGAGCAAAATAGGCAAAAATCCCTGCCTTCAGGAGGTTTACATTCTAGGAAAGAGAAAACAATGCATAGATACATAACGAAGACATAGGGGCATGTTCAAAGCTGATCAAAGTGTGATGGAGAAAAGTAAAGCAGAATGGGGTGAGGGTGAGGTGTTACAATTTTAAATGTCAGGCACAGACACAGAAAAAAGGTAACATTGTACAGAGATTTGAAGAAGGTGAGGAAGTGCCCCAAACTGCATGGAAATCTTAGGAAAGTTTTCCAGGCAGAGGGAATAGCTAGTTCAAAGACACTGAAAGGCCATGTATGGTGGCTCATGCCTGTAATCCCAGCACTTTGAGAGGCCAAGATGGAAGGACTGCTTGAGGCTAGGAGTTTAAGATCAGCCTGGGCAACACAGTGAGAGCACATCTCTACAATTTTTTTTTTTTTTAATTAGCCAGGCATGGTAGTACACACTTGTAATCCTAGCTATTTGGGAGGCTGAAATGGGAGGTTGTGAACCCAGTTCGAGGTTCCAGGGAGCTGTGATAGTGCCACTGTACTCCAGCCTGAGCAACAGAGCAAGACACTGTCTCTAAATACATAATACATACATACGTAAATGGACACTGAAAGAAGAGAATGTCTAGGCGGTTCAATGATCAACAAAAATCTACACATTTTGCTGTTTCCTAATCTTCTTAAATACTACATCCCACATACATTTCAAAAGTACAGCTTTCAAAAGGCTTATGGTCAGGCATGGTGGCTCACACTTGTACACCTGTAATCCTAGCATTTTGGAATGCCAAAACAGGCGGATCGCTTGAACTCAAGAGTTCGAGGCCATCCTAGGCAACATGGCAAAACCCCATCTCTACTAAAAAAGAAAATGAGCCAGGTACAGTGGCACATGCCTATAGTCCCAGCTACTCAGGAGGTTGAGGCAGGAGAATCACTTGAGCCCGGGAAGTGAAGGTTGCAGTGGGCTGAGATTGCAACAAAACACTCCAGTCTGGGTGACAGACCCAGACCCTGTTTAAAAAAATAAATAAATAAAGTGAGGGGGGCGGACGGCAATTCTTCTCCAATACTGGAAGTTTTTTTCTTAAATATACAGCATCTGGCACTACTGCGATAAATAGAAATGTATGCATTTTGCTTTCCCACCATCCCTCAGTGCACTGACAGCTTCTTGCCTGTAGTGAGTTAAGTCCCAAAGGCGCTGGGAATATGTTTAGCACCAGAGCAACCAGAGCTAGTAGGCTGAATACAGCACTCAGATGGGCTGCAAGCCAAAGATGCCTATACATGGATTCAAGAAATGATGTGCAAGAATCTCCACCTTTATTCTCTATACTACAACCATCCTCATCATTTGTGGCAGCATCAAGGTGGTGAAGCAACTCAGCACAGAAAACACTGAAAATGGTAACAAGACCAAAATAGAGCTGGACGGAAAAAATATCCAATCTCTGCACTTCCAAAATAATAATGTGATCCAAGCTTCTTTTTTAAAATTTAAGATTTATAAAAAACAAGAGAGACTTTATTTTGAGTACAGAGGAAGAGAAAAGGAGAACTGTGTTGGTAGAAACAGAATATGAACACTGGGAATCCAGATAGAGAAAGGCCAACGCTGAGTGAAAGGAGTCAAGGCTGAGAATCAGGGATGCTTGGGCCCCTCCTCGCTTCCTGGTCCACTAATAATATAGCTTTGGGCATGACACTGTACTCTTCCGGGGTTTCACTTCCTCATCTACTTAAAGGAATTCACCCCAGCACTTTGGGAGGCCGAGGCGGATGGATCACCTGAGCTCAGGAGTTCAAGACAAGCCTGGCCAACATGGCGAAACCCCATCTCTACTAAAAATACAAAAAATTAGCCGGGCGTGGTGGCGGGCACTTGTAACACCAGCTACTCAGGAAGCTGAGGCAGGAGAATCATTTGAACCCGGGAGACGGAGGTCGCAGTGAGCCAAGATCGCGCCACTGCACTCCAGTCTGGGTGACAAGACAGAAACTCTGTCTCAAAAAAAAGAAGAAAAAGAAAAAAGAATCCATATAGGATTGCTATAGAAATTGGCAACAGTGGATTAAAAGCAGCTAGGATGTTAAAAAGCCAATCTCAAAAGGTTACATGTTGTATAGTTCCATTTATAGAGACTACTTAAAATGACAAAATTATAAAGAAGGAGAGAGTTGGCTATGGTTATAAAGGCATACCATTTGGGATCCTTGTGATGGAACTGTTCTGTATCTTAACTGCGGTGGTGGTCACACAAATTTTCACATGTGAAAAACTGCATAGAACTAAATGTACACACACACAAAAAGAATGTGTGTAAAACCTATGAAATCTAAAAAATGGCAGGGCATGGTGGCTCATGTCTGTAATCCCAACACTCTGGGAGGCCAGGCAGGAGGGTCACTTGAGCCCAGGAGTTCAAGACCAGCCGAGGCAACATAGTGAGACCCCATCTCTACACATTTTTTTTTAAATTATGGGTATGGTAGTGCATGCCTGTGGTCATAGCTAGCTACATGGGAGGCTGAGGAGGGAGGATCGCTTGAACCCAGGAGGTCAAGGCTGTGCTGAACCATGATATTGCTACTGTAGTCCAGCCTGGGCAACAGAGCGAGACCCTGTCTCAAAAAAAGAAAGAAACGAGAGAGAAGAGAAGAGAGAAAGGAAGAAAAAAATCTAAAAAGTGTTAAAGTGTTGATCACTGAATCAGTGTTAACTGCCTGATTGTGATACTGTAATACTGTTAGGCAACACGTTACCATTGGGAGAAACTGGGTGAAAGGGACACAGAATCACTCTGTATAACTTCTTACAACTATATATGAATCTATATATAAAACTATACATGATTTTTAAAATCTCTTCACCTTAAAATGTCTGGCATGTTGGAAATGATGCATAAATTGCATATTGGTCAAGTTATCCTCTCACCTAAAAAGCAGAACTGCTAATTTGTACTTCCCACTAATGAGACTCTAGAGGAAATGCTCAGCAATGTAGCTGGCACCAAGTAAGAGCTCACTCAACGGTCATTATCCCGGCCCTTCAAAACCTCACAAATATCCAAGGAAAATGCTAACACTTTTTATATAACCAATGGAGAAAGTTACAGAGTTTGCTGGCTCTGAATAATAAACATGTATACACCAAAATAAAAGAGCCCTCTAAAAGAGAGAGAGGAAAAAAATCTTCCGTGGTGTAGAACAGCCTTTGTCACAGTGTTCTCCATGGAACACTAGTCCTCTGAGCTGCTCCTAAATAAATAAATACATGGTCCCTGGTCAAATAAATTTGGGAAATGCTGCATATACCATCCCCCTTTGGAAGCACCGATAAAAAAGAAAATCCCTATCCAACTTCACTTAACCCATCTTTCTCCAAATTTACTTGGTCAAAAATAATTTTTAATACCTACTGGCATCCTGAGAAATGCTCCCAAGTCTGGAATTTTAAAAGTCATTCTACATTGGTCAGGTACTCACTACCTGAGTAGTGAGTACTTTCTTCACCCACTGTGTGCTTTCTTTCTTTCTTTTCTTTCTTTGTTTTGGAGACAGAGTCTCACTCTGTCACCCAGGCTGGGGTGCAGTGGTGCAATCTCGGCTCACTGCAACCTCCGCCTCCCAGGTTCAGACAATTCTCATGCTTCAGCCCCCAGAGTAGCTGGGATTACAGGCATGTGCCATCATGCCCAGCTAATTTTTCTATTTTTAGTAGAGACGAGGTTTCACCATGTTGGCCAGGCTGGTTTCAAACTCCTGACCTCAGGTGATGTGCCTGCCTTGGCCTCCCAAAGTGTGGAAATTACAGGTGTGAGCCACTGTGCCCAGCCCCATTATATACTTTAGAAGAGAAACAAATGGGCTTTTCTACAGCTCGTGTAGTGGTTTTTTTGTTTTGTTTTGTTTTGTTTTTGAGACGGAGTCTCTGTTTCCCAGGCTGGAGTGCAATAGCACGATCTCAGCTCACCTCAACCTCCACCTCCTGGGTTCAAGTGATTCCCCTGCCTCAGCCTCCCAATTAGCTGGGATTACAGGCATGTGCCACCATGCCCAGATAATTTTGTAATTTTAGTAGAGACAGGGTTTTACCATGTTGTCCAGACTGGTCTCAAACTCCGGACCTCAGGTGATCCACCCACCTCGGCCTCCCAAAGTACTGGGATTACAGGCATGAGCCACCACGCCCGGCCCGTGTAGTGGTTTTAACTATACATAGCTGGTCTTCGATAAATGTTTGCTGAATTGGATTCAATAAAAGTGTGATTCCAGGATGACAACTGTAGGCATTAGGGGAAGTGACTTTTACTGATTTTCTTTTTTAATCTCTCACTTAGTGAGGAAAACAAAGGCACTCCTTTCTGGAACTTTCTGAAAGGCTGTCAGAAACTTTCAGGTGCCTAGGTTTTCCACTTATGCCAGTAATATCTGGCCTGAGGGGGAGCTGCTTACAAGTGGAACAGCAGTTAACAAGCTGATGTGATTATAAAGGTTCTGGGAACCCGCCTTAGTTCATTTTCTGTTGCTATAACACAGTATCACAGACTGTGTAATTTATTTTTCAAAAGAATTTTTTAAAATTTTTTCTTTCTTTTTTTAATTTCTTTTTTTCTTTTTATTTTTTGCTCTGTCTTATGGGTCCTGAAAAAGAAATGTATTTCTTACAGTTCTGGAGGCTGAAAAGTTCAAACTCAAGAGTCTGCATCTGGCGAGGGCCTTCCCGCTATGTCATAACATAGTAGAGAGCATCATACGGTGAGAGAGCAAGAGCATGCTAGCTCAGGTCTCTCTTCTTATAAAGCCACCTGTAACATCAATGGGAACCCCCCTGATGACCTTATTTAACCCTTATTACATCCCACAGGCCCCACCTCCAAATGCAACCAACATATGGATTTGGGGATTAAGTTTCCAACACATGAAATTTGGCGGACACTTTCAAACCATAGCAAAGCTCATGACTAAAAATATAGCTACTTATAACTATAAATCCTGAAATTCCTTTAGCAGGATACAAAGCCTTTCATACCAAGAAAAATAAGAAAAAAGCTCTGCCTGCAACTATTCCTGAAACAGGTAGTAAGTTAAAGATAAGCCATTTTCATAAAGATGACTTAAGATTAAAGTCATATAAATGAATTTTGGAAGTCAATGAATTTGCTGAGATCAAGCTTGGAAGGGTGGGGTGGGAGGAGTGTGCAGGGGGGGAAAGGTAAAGACTTTCCCCTAGAAGTAGAAGGAGAAAGATAAAACTAGTTTCACCTAATTCACAGACCCATCAAGACCAAAAACACTGTTTCTATTTAGAGGAATGACCCATATTCTAATTTGCAAAACCATAAACTACCTGCAAAATGTTGCCAGTTTTAAAAGAAAAATTAATCAGAATAATGAATAAGAAAAAGTATTCTTAAATACAAACAAGATTTGAGCGAAACTTCAAAATCTGCTCAATTATATATATCTTCTACATAAAGATCTGAAAATGAAGACTTTATCATAAGCCCCTAACATAATGAAAACAAGTCTCAAACACTCAAGGGTAGGAAAGCATACTCACCAAGCACACCCCCAAAGCACACTCAGGCATTTTTAGGAACATTTCCAACATGTTTGAAAACAAAATGGGTTTCAGATAAAACCTCAACTTAACTGGGACAGCCATGTTTCCCAGGCATTCTAGTTCTTGAAGGGTGCTATGTAAAACTGAGTGATGGTTTGGACATTCCATTACACTTAATAATCCTAAAATCACATGCATATGGCTGTCAGCATATTCATTCCTCAACGTGAATAAGGGAAGGTCTAATCACAACATTTCAAATTAGCTAAGACATCAGTTGGGAAGCCCAGGCTGCACACTTCCCAATATGTCCCTGTTACTCTTTCTCAACAGTCCCCCTGCAGTATCACAGGGCCAAATCTCTCCTCTTGGGCACAATAATTTGAGCAGCATTTGCCTTGGCTATCCCAGTCTTCTCCTCTCATTGGACAGAAAACATGACAGAGAAAAAAATAATTGCCAAAAAAAATTTTCTGGTAGTTGAACTGAATTTGATACAACAAAAAAAGTATGTAAGGTTTAGCAGCGATCCCAGTGGGCTTCCAGAAATCAAAGTCCCCACAGACTAAACAAGCTGGAAACATGAAAATTAAAAATCTGCCTGCTGAATAACTGTCTATGAAAGTTTTCTTACAAGAAGCCTGGTTATCTTTTTAGATTCTCATTCCTCACTGCAAGATGTTCTCTTCTGTATTTCAAAGACAAAGTCAGTCTCTCTTTTCTTCCTTCTTTCCCTCCCCCACTCATACATACAAGAAATAGTGATTTTTCTAAATTCCTTTTAAAACTGATGGAAGGAGGGAGAAGCCTAAGTATTCTTCCTAATCCAATGTTCTATTAATAGGATTTTTAATGCAGTGCAGGTTTTACAATACTGTAAGCGGGAAGACAATGAACAATGACTGTATTGTGCCACACCTGCTCCCCCACCCCTCCGGGAGGCTGAATGATGTCTTATCTGGCATCCCTCATTTGGACAGTGATACACCTGTGAAGTGACAGGCCTGCCAAACTGCAGAAAGAAGTTCTCCCTTTTACTCTGTTAACATGCCTAACATCATTTAGTCCAATAATGCCATGTTAAAAATAAAAAAAGTTAAACTTTTTTTTCCTTTTTTAAAAACAAAGTGCTTTAGTTTTTGCAAGACTAAACCATTCAGCCAGACTTGGCTAAACCTTCAATTTACACAGTGGGACACACTATAACAATTGGCCCAAATACCCTAAGGGAAAAGCCAGACTCATGGATTCAGAAATGAGAAAAATGCCTCTGACTTGCCTTCCCGGTTCCGCCCACTGTGCACATCAGTGCACCCACAGGAAATGATTCCCATTTCAGTTTCTCTGCTGCAATAGTCAAGGGAACGCAATCCCAATATCAGGAAAAAAAAATTAGCATGTCACTGGAGCACAAAGGCTGCTGGATCATCAGAGTGCTTCCTCTCAAATTCCAAACACAAACCCACATGCCCCAAATACTACACTGACCCAAGTGGTTGTGTGCCTGCCTCAAAGTTACGCTCTGCTGAGTGTCTTCTTATTTATCTTTGAGCCCTGTACCAGCTTAACAGCTGATTCTTCTGCCCTCTTGGGTCCAGTGTCAAATCTGCCAGGAGAGCCTCATCAACAGGCAGAACGAGCCTCAGTGAGCTAGGGGAAGCCAGAGGTCAGAGAAGTATGCATCTGAGAAATCAGCCTGCCCTGTCATGAGGTTCTGAAACACTAGCTCACTGAAAAGCACATTAAAGAGTTCCAACGGCAGGGCTGAATGGGTGTCAGCACAAATCAGTGAGTCCAAGTCCTTCCAGCTTCCTTTCCTGGCCAGAATGGGAGAGTCTTAGCTATAATGGCATTCACAGACTTCTGCCCAACAGAGAAAGCCAAGAGAGAGCCTTCTATTAGTAGCACCCAAGAAGCCTGTGACCATGGTGCCCAGTGTCCATCTTGGCAGAAAAAAGACACGCTGTGATCCCAATAATAAATGCACAACCACCACAGAATACATTGTACATAGAATGATGATACTTCATATTTAGCTTCTAAAACTAAGCTAAATGATCAGTATTCTTGGCCACAATGATCATATAATAAAATTGTTATAGTAAGATATTTCTACAGTGCAATGCCTTCATTCACATGATAGCTATTCCCATCTTTGAATCCTTCTCAAGTTGTTATGTTACTTAAATTGCATATACACCAAGTACACCTGTTTTGCAGTGCATTCCCAGGCATTATTTCTCAGAAATGCATGGTACACATTTCCACTGCTTGCTACTTAGTACTCACTTCAGCAATATATCACTTCTTTATAATAAAATGGCTCTATATGCCCTATCATAGAGTATGGGGATTCACCAAATTATTTTTCCCCCTTAGAGGCGTTGCTTGACCTGGGTAAAGAAAGTTCATAATGACCACTTTATATATACCTTATGATATGCTTTGTAAGTATTGCAATGTTTAAGTATAACAGGAAACATCTTACTTAATTTTCTAATTTTGACTCTTCTTTATCTATAGCATGTTTTCTAACCCCACCCCCAAAACAATAGAAAACTCTATATATTTTTTATGCATCACATAAAAGTAATGCTTCTCCTACCTGTATATTCCCACTTCTTTTCTGTCTACTTATATACTTTTTATGCGTCACATTCAAGTAATACCTCTCCTACCTTTATATTCCCACTTCTTTTCTACTGTCTACATAATATGACCAGAAACAAAAGTATAAGCCAATTACAATGCTTCACCCAGAAATGAAATCTATCTTTTACTCTACAGAAGAAATATTACAGTCAACATAACACTGTCTGCTAGTGTTTTTAAGACCACAGCCAACACACAAGACAAACTCTGCTCACAATTTTGCTCAGAAATGGTTGGCCCACGCATTAGATAAGCTAAGTTTATTCTTAACCAATATTAATTTTTATTACCGAAAAGTTATTTTAAAATGCGTGTGAGGTACTTCTGTGGTACTCCTTATACGGACAAAACCAGTAAGAAAAGCAGCCCAACCTGTCAGGCTAAATGCTCACAGCCAGCTCAGTTATAACTGAAAAGATTCATCCTGCACTAACATAAAATCATAAAATGTACGATTTCAAACTCTGAGATAATCACACCTAGAAAATGCAACTGAAAGTAATGTACCTGCCATACTGCATTATTTCCACCTTATTGATTAAAGTTGAAATAGGTGTGCTAACTTCATTGAGCATCTACTTGCTGAAAAGGCACTTTTAACTTAAGAAAGTAGTTCAAGCTTCTTATTTCATTAACCACAGAACTACAGGTTGTTTATACTGAGAAGCTTATCCCTACTCATGATGGAGTAAACTGCAGCTTTTCAAGGCTTATTAAAATTAAAGAATTGGAATCATAACTCCATAACACTCAAAAAAATGTGTTTTTTTATTTTTGTTTTCTTTTTGACACAAAATTTCACTCTGTCCCCTAGGCTAGAGTGCAGTGGCACAATCTTGGTTCACTGCAACCTCTGCTTCCCAGGTTCAAGTGATTCTCATGCCTGAACCTTCCAAGTAGCTGAGATTACAAGCATGTACCAACACATCCGGCTAATTTTTTTGCATTTTTACTAGAGATGAGGTTTTGCCATGTTGGCCAGGGTGGTCTCGAACTCCCGGCCTCAAGTGATCTGCCCATCTCGGCCTCCCAAAGTGCTGGGCTTACAGGCATGAGCATCTATGTACTTTTCAACTGTTTTGAGTTTTTGTGGTATAAATTCATGAATCTGAAATTTCAAGTGCTTTCAAATTGTAGCAAGGAAACAGAACCTGACAACAACCATCTAAGTGGTAGGAAATTCCAGTTATCTAATTAATTACGTTTATTTTAGAAGTAAATCCTCCTGAGAAAAAATTCATTCAAATCACAGAATTTCCTCAAACCTTACAGAGTGCCAAAAAAAAAAAAAAAACACAATGACTTCTGCTGAGCCTCAGAACACAGTCTCCATCCTACCCCAATAGTTAACCCCACTAAAAGTAGCCATTCTGAAGTTAAGACCCACACCCACCTGCAAGGTAAGAGCTGGAAGTAAAGAAAAGGCTGCCGTTTAAGGGTTCTGGAAGAGGATTCTGTTTTTCCCACCATCATTCACTAAAAACTGCACAAAGAGCATCCGTCCAGTCCAAAAGAAGGTCTGCTGGACAGACCACAGACTGCCAGGGTGCCTGCCTGCTAAACACAAATTAATGACTAATTCATGAATTCAAGAAAACACCATACAAGACTCTAGCAGCAAAAAAGCTCAATTAGCTGAAAATTAAACAGCACCCAACACCTGTGATGTAGCTCCCCAAGATAAGAACTTGGCTGCCAGAGGGCATTAAGAACTAAGGGCACTAACATATGGGCTATACGGAAGGGAGAAGCGCCAGGAAAAATAACCTTGTACATCTTTCCGTGCTGGGACCTTGTACTAAATTGAGAAAGTATTTTCAGCTGAGTTACTTGGTGAGGTTTACACCCTACCCACCTAGAATCCTTGCTGCTCCCAGATATTCCCTCTCTTTAAACCAAATCTCTGGTTTTTTAAACCCATTTCTACTTAAGCATTCAACTAATGAAATGGTAAGGACTGTAAGAGGACTTGAGCAAACTCACTGAATGGCTGACACAGAAGTCTTAGAAGGAGGACCGGGCGCGGTGGCTCACGCCTGTAATCCCAGCACTTTGGGAGGCCGAGGCGGGTGGATCATGAGGTCAGGAGATCGAGACCATCCTGGCTAACAAGGTGAAACCCTGTCTCTACTAAAAATACAAAAAATTAGCCGGGCGCAGTGGCGGGAGCCTGTAGTCCCAGCTACTCGGGAGGCTGAGGCAGGAGAATGGCGTGAACCCGGGAAGCGGAGCTTGCAGTGAGCCGAGATTGTGCCACTGCAGTCCGCAGTCCGGCCTGGGCGACAGAGCGAAACTCCGTCTCAAAAAAAAAAAAAAAAAAGAAGTCTTAGAAGGAGGAAAGTCCAGCCAAAGAAACCTCTTTCTTGTACTATAAGCTAGGGGCATTTTGCAGGAGGAGTGTAAGTAGCAGGGCAAGCAGTGAATGAACAACTGTGTAAAGACATGGCTCACCCTACACTGCCATAAAAGATAGTCAGCAGACAAGACGGAAAAGTTCCAGAGATCTGTGGCACAGTAATGTCAATATACTTTACTGAACTGCACAATTAAAAATGGTTAAGATGACAAATTTCATGTGGTTTTCTCTTTTTACCAGAATTAAAAAATTTTAAATTGAAAGATATTTAGCAGAAACAGCTCTCAGGCATTTATTCTGAGAGGTTTCTTTGGTTGGTTGGTTGTTTATTTTTCTTTTTCCAAACAGGGTCTTGCTCTGTCACCCAGGCTGGGTTGCAGTGGTGCGATCATAACTCACTGCAGCCTTAAATTGCTGGGTTCAAGTGATCCTCCCGCCTCAACCTCCAGAGTAGCTGGGACTACGCAACTACTCTGGACTGCTACGCAGTAGCAGGTGCACACCACCACACCCAATTAATTTTTTTTCTTTTTTCATAAAGACAGAGTCTCCCTATGTTTCCCAGGCTAGTCTTAAACTCCTGGCCTAAAGCGATCCTCCAGCCTCAGCCTCCCAAAGTGCTGGGATTACAGACATGAGCCACCTGTCCTTACTCTGAGGGGTTTTGAGGCACTTAGTTATTTGTAAACTGGATTGAAAATAAAGGTAATCAGGAGGAAAGTAGTATTCCTGGTGTCTAGCCCAAGACATAGAGGAAAGATTAAGGGCAGTCAAGCCACTGAGAGTTCCTTCTTGGCTCATTCATGTGGTTATAATATCAGAAGCTTCTAGTATATTTATGTTGACTCTAAAGTCCTATGTAGGAAACCAAAGGGCTTGGGGGTCCCAGAGGTCACATCTTTTTATTTTATTAATGGCCTCACCTTTGGACTGTGGCTCTAAAGAGCTACCCAAGGAGAGGGTATTACATTCTAGATGTACATCCCTCCAGAATATTTGGAAGAGGGTCTCTGTCAGTAGACTCGCCAGCTTGATCAGGATGACTTTTCACTGACATCTATGAAAGTGTGGGAGTGACTGTCCAGGTGACTCTCAGGTCAGCATCACACTGGGTCTATAAGCAGAAGTTTTGGGGGTCAAATTTCACTCACTGTAAGAGAGAACTGTTGGAATGGATATAGATCTGCAACAAAATTAGACTCCCTCCCAAAGCAGTGGATTATGTCACCAGAAACGTTGGAAAAGTCTTCGATGAGGTCAGGCTGGGCTTAATTCCTTCCCAACTCAAGTTTCTGTGGTCTATTAGCTCAGGAATGTGTTTGGTTACAAGTAAAAGAAAACTCAAACATTTTTTATCTTTTCACTTCACCACCCTTAGCATGCTGACTTTTATCTTCATGTTTGTTCCCTCTTGGTCACAAGATGCATGGATATTCTACCTCCAGGTTCAAGCTCATGTTGAAAGCAGAAGAAGCTGAAAACATGAAGGGGCAATCCTCTCTCATGGAAGCATAATTTTCCTAGAAAGCCACAGCAGGGCAAGTACGGTGGCTCACTCCTGTAATCCCAGCACTTTGGGAAGCCAAGGAGGGAGGATCACTTGAGGCCAGGAGTTCAAGACCATGTTGGGCAATATAGCAAGGCCCTGTCTCCACAAAAAAAAAAAAAAAAAAAAAAAAAAAAATTTAATTAGTCAAGTGTGGTGCTACGCAACTATAGTCCCAGCTACTCGGAAGCTGAGGCAGGAGGATCACTTGAGTCCAGGAACTGCAGGCTGCAGTGAGCTATGATCACATCACTGCACCCTAGCCTAGGTGACAGACAAAATACTGTCCCAAAAAAGAAAAGAAAGCCACAGCAGACCCTTCCACTTATATTTAATTGACCAGAACATATCATATTGCTACCTCTAGTCCAGAGTTTCTCAGCCTTGGCACTATCAACATTTGGAACCAGACAATATTCTTATCTGTGGATTATCTATTTTTATCTGTGCATTATCAGAATCCCTGGCCTCTACCCCATAGATGCCAGTAGCACCCCATTCCTAGTTGTGAAAATCCAAAATATCTGTCTCTAGACACTGCCAAATGTCCCCTGCAGGGCAAAACTTCTTCTAACGGAGAAGCACTCTTAGACTAATCCCTCCAGAAGCTAAAATGAAAAGGGTAGTGAATGGTACAGGGTCAGCCAATAGACACTGTCAGTAGCAAATTCTCTATGTCTGTTTCTTAAATGTCTAGTTCATAAATTTTTCTTAATGAGCTTACTCACTACCATGCTAAGTATGTTGAAGAATCTAAGAGAAACGTACAAAGTGCCCTCATCTTAGAAGTACTAACAATAAAATTTGGAAAATCAAGATTGATGCACAAGAAACAATCAGAAAAAAATACATTATAAAAGGCTAGCTAAGCCATAGAGACAAGCAAGACATCCTTCAGCTGGCTCAGAGCAATGGGGATAAGAGCACATAACATGCAGCCTAGAGTCCTTAATGAAAATGTCACTTCAGAGGTAGAACTTGTGTTTGAAGACTAGAAATATTTAGACACATGGCAAGAGATCAGGAAAACAACATAAACAAAGATCAGAAAACAAGCACTGTTAAAACCTCAAGACCTACTCTGATAGACCTGGGTTCTAATCTGAGACTTTGGGACAGCATTTACCCTGTCTGCACCTCAGTTTTATCATCTGAATAATAGGGATAATAACACATCTCTCCTAGGATTGTTGAGACTCAAAAGAGAACAAATCAATTACAAGAGCATCTAGCACACAGTAAGCAATCAGTTGTTAGCTTCTATTATTACAATTATAGATATCATATTATTTAAGATAATCATAATTTACGAAGAGGGGTCATCTATCAGGAATCAGAGAATTCTTACTAGAGAGCAGCTGTCATATCCTGAGCAGGACAGCCAGGACCTACAGTTGGTGGGTAAAGCCAGGCTTGTGATGGCCAAAAGATAGCAGCTGAGATCCAGGCAGGGCGGCAGGAGAAGACACACAGAAACACCATCCACACCTACAACAGGTAGTGGCAGGAGGGGTTGACTGGAACCTGTGGATGAAATCAAGTGAGCTTCATGGCCAGCAGCCATGGTCAGGTTAGTAATAAGACTGTAGTTATTAAGTGACTTTAGCTCACAAAGCATTCTTACATATACTATCTGACTGATTTGGATATAACAAGACTGTCCATGGGTAAGAGAGAGCTACTCCAGCAAGACAGTTTTTTTAATTATTTGAAAAGTCACTGCCAAGCAAAGTAGCAGGAAGTGGGAAATATAAGACTTGCCTTCTATTTAGTACAAGAGACATGAGTGTGAAGCAGAGAATGACACCCGTAGTGTCTTTCATAGACACAGAGAAAATAAATAAGCTTTAAAAAACATTTACCAATCTGTGCACTCTTACATGTTAGCAGGCCACCAGTGGGCCTTCTGAGTCCCAAGTTCCCAGCTTCCAAGTCTCAATTCTTTTATGATCAAGGGAGAATGATAAAGTCCACTCAAAACTATCTTCATATTTTTCCTGTCAAGGTTTCTCTAGTAGTTAACTTACACAGACGTTCCCCTGAGTTATATACATTAGTCATATATTAAGTTTAATAAGTTCCACAGCACATAATAAAAGCTGGAAGACACATAATAAAAGTTTAGCCTCACCTCAAAAAAAAAAAAAAAGTATCCTACAAGTACCTGAAAACCACAAAGAGAAAGAGCAAGATGACCAGGTTGATGGTCCCCATGGCATGGTTTTTGTGACTGCTCCCATCCTCCATTGTCCAGTTCCTGTTATCTGGGGTCATTTATGTAGTCACCTATAGATGAATACTTTTTTTTTTTTTTTTACTGTATCCAATACATGTTTTCAACTTCTGTGAGAATTCAAGGTGCCAAACGTTTTCTTAAACATTTAGTCCTTGCTGGGTTTTGATAAATATTGAACATCAGGAACAAAAAGAGACTGATACAATAAAAACCTATGCCATGAAACTAGTGAATAGAAAAAAAATCTATTTATTTTAAATGGTTTCTGATAGACCCAGTATCACACCACAGAAGCAAAAAGGAGCCGTTTCCTGATTTTGGGGGCAGACTTAACTCCTAGCACAGAGAAGTGCTGAATAAGATTTTTTTTTTCATATTGTCAGGAATAATAATCATAACACTGGGCACTTTACATATGTTATTTTCCACAATCGTCATTCACTGGGGTGCATCATCATCGTCCATTATTTATAGAGGAGGACAACGAGGCTCAGGGAGGTTAAAATAATTGACCCAAGGTCAAGTAGCTGGGCTGGAATTCCAAGTAGCAACTGTTTGACTTCAAGTCCCTTGTTCTGAACCATTGTGTAACACTGCCACACCATGAATACAATGAAGGAAGTGAAAAGGCAACCTCGCATCCAACTAAATGCACCAAAAACCGTAAAGTGAGCAGTTAAGAATAAACTTTATTAAAGGCAAGAGGTGTGAAAACAATTTACGATTTTCAGTCTCTCCACATTTGTTCTTTGTACTTTGGTTTACCAAGATCTAGACAACAGGCTGCTCACCCTTTCTTACCATCAAATACAGCAGAATCTAGAGCAGCTCTGTCCAATAGAAACAGAATATGTGCTGTGTGTGGAAGTTTAAATTTTCTTGTAGCCACATATTTTAAAAAGATGAAAGTACCTTTAATAATATTTTATTTAACCTCATATATCCAAAACATTATCCTTTAAGCATGTAATCAATATAAAAAATTATTAATGAGACATTTTACATCCTTTGTTTCACAGTAGGTCTTTGAAATCTAGAGTGTATTTTATACTCACAGCACATCTCAATGTAGACTAGCATATTTCAAGTGCTCGGTGGCCATATGTGACTAGCAGCTACCATAGAGGGCCACAAAGATCTAGACCCTTAAGAGTTACACATACATACAACACCCCTTTAATAATCTCTTCCATGTTTCTATAATGATCCAAAGAGGGAGTGCTCTACTCTCGTTTCTATGCTTACACACTTCTGGGATGAAATTACAGGGATACCATCCAATGAATGCCTGAAATTCCACCATGGTAGCTTACACTCAATTCTTTAAATATACTGTGCTTCAAGTTGTGTTTAAACAAAAATGCCCCAAAAGGGGGAATACTCTAAGCTAATATCTGTCTATCATTAAACCTTAGGTTACATGAAGGGAACTGACAGCACATCCAGGGAGAGCCAGTAGGGGCACAGAAGACAAAAATCAGATGGCTGACTTTTGGCAAACCTCATCTCAGATTCTATTACAAGTCCCTGTTCCAAATTCCCTCTCTCCTCAAGAACTTTAAAGGAATTACTTCAATAACTCCTTGTCAAGAATAACTATTATCAAGAAACACAAACAGGAAACTACTGGGGCTTCTCTGATTTTCAACCTAATAACTTGAGGCAAACACTGCAAACTCAAATGCCCACAGGAACCCAGGCGGGCCCCAAAAACGAGAATAAAGGGCCAAATGAGCCTGTGCCCATCTGAGGAGGCAGCCTTGACCCCAGCCCAGGAGCCCATGCCTGGTGAGACGGTGGCCCCAGTGCTGCAGGTCATCTGATTTATCAAAATAAGTCACAAATCTGGATTTTCAGGCTTATCACTTGATTTTTACCATTAGTAACTATAAGACTTTAGATAACCACATACAGGTAAACAGGAAGGGACTACAAAGCAAATGCAGCCCCGGGCACCAGTCTGCAAACTCTAGTATTTGAGGGACACAAGCAAAAATACTAAGAATAGGCCTAGACCTGGAGGGGAGTTAATACTGCATCCTCTTTCAGCTATCATCTTTGCTGCCCAAAGAAGCCAAAACCATGCCTGCCCAGCTCTCTCTTAGACCGAGAGGAGCAGACAAAGGCCAGACAAGGCGAGGTGGCTTTCTGCCACTGTGCTGGTCCCCCGAGGCATTTCCATTTATCAAATGAGGGGGCTGGTGGAGGCTGGACGTGGTGGCTCACACCTGTAATCCCAGCACTTTAGGAGGCTAAGGCGGGCGGATCACGAGGTCAGGAGATCGAGACCATCTTGGCCAACATGGTGAAACCCCATCTCTACTAAAATTACAAAAATTAGCTGGGCGTGGTGGCATGTGCCTGTAATCCCAGCTACTCGGGAGCCTGAGGCAGGAGAATAGCTTGAACCAGGGAGTTGGAGGTTGCAGTGAGCCGAAATTGTACCACTGTACTCCAGCCTGGCCACAGAACAAGACTCCATCTCAAAAAAAAAAAAAAAAAAAAAATGAGGGGACTGGTTTAGATCAGGGCAGTATTGGGAGGGTGGGATCCTTGCCCATGGTGAAGGGCCGCCTCAGGGCCATGTGATCATCCCTGGTGGTAAACACAGGCCTCAGGCAGTGGGAACTACCAATCTTTTAAAGAGAAGCCACAAACATAAATTTTTCTGGAAAACCTTTTAGTCATTAAATTTTGGCAAATTCAAATCACATTTCCAACAGTATATGAGCCCCACAGGGCCACCCGTCTGTAGCCCCTGGATCAGAATGTCTCCCAGTCCCAACAGTCTATCTGCCTTAAACCTATACAGCAGGTCCGTGAATAATGTCATTTCATTTGGTTAATAACACTGATGAGAAGAAAAAGAAATCAATTCCTGACTGGGACCACTGTCTGGTGTAGAGTTTGCATGTTTTCGCCATGTCTGAGTGAGTTTTTCCAGGTTTCTGTTTCCTCCTACATTGCAAAGCCATGCACATTAGGTTCACTGGCATGCCTAACTGTCCCAGTCTGATTGAGAGAATGCGTGTGTGCATGTGTATGTGCACCCTGCAGTGGAATGGAGCCCTGTCCAGAGTTGGTTCCCACCTTGCGCCCTGCCTGCCAGGATACGCTCCAGCCACCTTCAACCCTGAACTAAAGCAAGCAAGTTGAAAAATGAATGAAGGAAGGAAGGAATTAATACAAATTACTGTCAAATTTAAATTCACCAAGTAGACAATAATCATACAAATACATAACAATAAAGATGAGGTACAAAAGCACTCAGCAAGCTCACTATATTTGTTTTTAAAACGCGTGATGGTAGGGAGGACTCTACAATTTTCACTTTGCAAACATTTACTCCTTGATTTAACCCATCACCAAGATGACTGCTATCACTCACTGATTCACCAAAAATTGGATAATTATCTTGTTTTCATTTTTTTATTTTTATTTTTTATTTTTTTAAGACAGAGTCTAGCTCTGTCACCAGGCTGGAGTGCAGAGGCACGATCTCGGCTCACTGCAACCTCTGCCTCCCGAGTTCAAGTGATTCTCCTGCCTCAGCCTCCTGAATAGCTGGGATTACAGGCACACGCAGCCACGCCCAGCTAATTTTTGTATTTTTAGTAGAGATGGGGTTTCACCATGTTGGCCAGGATGGTCTGGATCTCCTGACCTCGTGATCCGCCCAGCTCGGCCTCCCAAAGTGCTCAGATTACAGGCGTGAGCCATCACGCCCAGCCTATTGCTCTTTCTTAAATGTGTGTATAACTCACATTTATTTCTATGTTTAAGATTAGAAGCGCGTTTAACAGCAAGGCACAGTGGCTCACGCCTGTAATCCCAACACTTTGGGAGGCCGAGGAGGGTGGATCACCAGAGGCCAGGAGTTCGAGACCAGCCTGCCCAACATGGTGAAACCCCATCTCTACTAAAAATACAAAATTAGCCGGCTGTGGTGGCGCATGCCTGTAATCCCAGCTACTCGGGAGACTGAGGCAGGAGAATCGATTGAACCCGGGAGGCGGAGGTTGCAGTGGGCCAAGATCGCACCATTGCACTCCACCCTAGAGTGAGACTCCATCTCAAAAAAAAAGAAAAGAAGTGCTTTAAGTGTTTGTATAGAAGTTTGATGATCTTTTGTAACTAGAAATCTGCAGTAGGAACTTAATTGTTGTTTATATCAATGAGCCTGTGGCCAAACTGGTTTCTTTACATGATGTTTCACTTAAAGTCACAGCTTCCAAGACCCTATCGATGACATTAAGTGAGGACTTACTGTACACTCTCATGACTTCACCACAGCATTAACTTAACCTCCTTTCTCTATCCATGTAAGTTTGAAAGTGGTGCTACTACTGATTGTAAGACTAAAAGACAAATGAATAAGTAAAACATGATATCCTGGATGAGAACCTGAAATGGAAAAAGGACATTAGTGGACAAACTGGTAAAAATCTACATAAAGTCTGCAGTTTAGTTAATAGTATTGTATTACTGTTGATTTCTCAGTTTTAATCCATTTACTACAGTTAAATAAGATGTTAACATTAGGGAAAGCTGAGTAAAGGGTATATGGGAACTTTCTAAACTACCTTTGCCATTCTTTCATATATCTAAAATAATTTCCAAGTAAAATGATCTTTCAAAAATTCAAAGAACCATACCCCACTCAAAAATGTTAATTTCACAGTATTTCTTTAAATGAAATGTTTTTGAAAACTTACTAGGAAGCAGAAATATGAATTGCTCTGAATCTTCTTCACTCTGGTTAACTATGACACTAAGGGAAACCAGAAAATACTAAGAGAAAAACCAGAGTGCACAAGCCTGGGTTCTGTCCTTTGCTTTATAGTTACATGCAATAGCCAGTGGGGCAGGAGATCAATGGGCTGTTGGTAAAATATCACATGGCTAAATTTAGGTAGTTGTGATTAACTTGACTTTGAGAAACTGCCATTCAATTGCTTTTTGCCTATAATATAAATTAGCTTACATTTAGAGGACTGGAGATATTATTTCCCAAACAAGAGAGGTAGAACTGAAGTAATAAATACAAAAGCTTTGGCATGGAATGCTGCAAACTGCACAATAGACAGATATCAGTGCCTCTTAGAGAGGAGATTATTGACATCAATAATGTACGGTCTAAACATTTGAAACAGCATGTTAAGTTGCCCCATCCTTACATCATCACATTTCCAAACAGCCCCCTTAAATCTTTTTTGTTTTTCTAATAAGGCAAGATACATTTAAATAAATAAGCTGACATATTTCTAAATGCATGTAGAGAGAACTGTACCATGAATGGGACTCACTTAAAGCAGCATGAAAAGCTGCAGGAACTCTTCTCTATTTGTATTCTCTCATGCCTAATATTATGCTTTTAAATTAATTTGACACCTGTAATAAATATACTTTAAGAGGGAACATGAAATAAAATAATTAGCTTTATTAGTGCATTGTGGCAAGCAGATTTACAGTGACTTTAAGCCAAAATGTGCCTAGAGCCAGAAATAGTTATTTTTCTCTTAAACAAATACTTATGACACCCTACCATGACACAAACTACGCCCTAGTCCCCAGGAATAAGCAATGAGCAAAACAAAGGTCCCTGGCCTTGTGGAACTTACACTCCAGTAGGAGAGAAAAGAGACAAGGAATAAGATAAATCAACAAAACATATACTCTATTAGATTATGCTAAATACTAGAATAATAAATTAGGCAAAGGAGACAGAAAGTGTCAGGAGGGGTGTGGAAAGTTAAGATTGGTGGCCAGGGAAGTCCTCACTGAAAAAGTGACATTTGAAGAAAGACCTGAAGGAAGTGAGGGAGTGGGATAAGGGATCATGAGGACATGGATAAAGGACAGGAAGCTGAAGGGAATTCCAGGCAGAGGGAAGAACAAATGCAAAAAGCTCTGAGGTAGACTCAGGCCTGGACTGTTTCAAGAAACAGCAAGACCAGAGGGGGAAACAAGGAAGCAAGTGGGCGGGAAGTGGGAGATGAAGCCAGAGGGTAATGGAGGGCTAGGGCACACCACAGCTTGTCAGTCACGGTAAACACTTCAGTTTTACTCTGAATGAGATGGGAAGAAGAGTGACGTAATCTGCACACAGCTGATAACAGACTGAAGGGGATAAGGCTGGAAGCTGAAAGACCAGTTAGAAAGATACTCTCCTAATCCAGGTGAAAAATTATGGCAGCTTAGACCAGGGTGATAGCAATAAAGGTGATAAGAAATCAACTCTGGATACGTTTTGAAGATAGAGCCTATAGGATTTGCTGATGGGGTATGTGAGAAAGAGAAATCAAGAATGACACCAGACTGGGCGCAGTGGCTCACACCTGTAATCCCAGCACTTTGGGAGACCAAGGTGGTCAGATCACTTGAGGTCAGGAGTTTGAGACCAGCCTAGCCAACATGGCGAAACCCCATCTCTACTAAAAATACAAAAATTAGTTGGGCGTGGTGGCAGGCACCTGTAAGCCCAGCTACTCAGGAGGCTGAGGCACAATAACTGCATGAACCTGGGAGGTGGAGGTTGCAGTGAGCGGAAATCACGCCACTGCACTCAAGCCTGGGCAACAGAGGGAGACTCTGTCTCAAAAAAGAAATAAAAGAAAAGAATGACACCAAATGTCTTCTCTTAAGTAAGTGGAAGAGCAGGATGCTATTAACTGAGATGGGAATGACTGTGGAGGAAGCAGATTGGAGATTGGGCATGTTATGTTTTGAAATGCCTGTTAGACGCATCCCAGGAGAGATGTCCAGCAGGCAGCCAGATGAAGGGGTCTGGAGTTCAAGAGAGAGATCCAGGCTACAAATACGAATGCAGAAGTCATCTTACAGGTGATATTTAAAGCACTGAGAGTAGACACGATGAGGAACAAGTACCCTGAAACACTTTGCTTAGAGTTTGGAGCGATAAGGAATTAGCAAAGGAGACTGAGAAAGACCAGGAAAACCAAAAAAATGAGGTGCATGTGTGTCCAAGCAGTCCTGTAAAGAATGTATTTCATGGAGGGGACTTACTGACTGTTAAATGCTGCTGGTAAATGAAGTAAGAAGGGAGTGGGTCCTGACCATGGGCTTCGGCAAGGAAATGCTACCCGTGGCCCCGAAAAGCACAATGCCAGTGAAGTACGGTGAGTTAAGGTGCAAACTTGACTGTGATGGGCTCAGGATAGAATGGGAGGGGAGATGTTAGACCTAATGCATACAGATGACTCATTCAAACGTTCTGCAGTAAAAGCAAGAAAAGAAACTGGCTAGTAGCTGGAAGAGAAATCAGAGTCAAGAGAGGATGTTTTTATTTAATAAGAAAAATAATAACTCATATGCCAGTGGGAATCAGGTAGAAAGAAGAAAATAGATGACATAGGAAAGGGAGGGAAAATTTCATACAGCAATGTCCTTGAGAAGGTACGTGTAGATGGAGATAGAACATCATGCCCAAGGAGGTGGGAGCATGGGCACAGACGCAGGCAGGTGGTGGGTGTGCTGGTGGCAGTCTCTACTGATTATTTCTGGGGTTTCTGGTGAAAAAGGAAACAACCAAGTGTAAGGAGACCATGGATGTTTGAACAGCAAGTAGAAAGTATGCAACAGTTGTCTGAGAGAGTGGTGGGAATGAAGAGACAGTGGAAACACAATGAGACTGCCAGGTAGCATCAAGGGCCCACTTAAGATCTGTGATCAGCTTAGAGTGAGACAAACAATATGGTGCTGTGGTATTCTCCAAGCACATTTGGCCTCATGGGTGCAAGCACAGAACAGGTGAAGAGAGGGAAGGATTTAACCAGAACTGTGATTTAGTCAAGCAAGAATGACCAAGCCTGAGGGGTCAAGGGTGATAAGGATCTATGCCATGGTAGAGATTACAGTGGTTGATCGTGGACTCCAAGCTGGGGAAGGGGAGAAGTGAGGACATGGGGTGAGTGTGGGTCCGTGAAGACGTGATGGATTCAATGGACTGAAAAACCTGGTGGATCAATGGACTATTGAGGTTGGAGGTACCACATGAGGCTTGCGAGAGAAGAGGAAGTGGTGATAAGAGTGGGATGTTTCAAAGTGAGTGATGGAGGCACTGAAGTCACCGGTGATGAGAGGATCAAGATATGACCGTGGGATGGAGTGAACATGGGGACTGAAATCCTGGAGAACTCACAGAAGTAGTGTTGGAGACAGGGACAGTGAACCAGAAACAAAATTTTTCAAAGAAAGAGGGGAATGACCACGTGGAAGAGCAGAGGACTAGTGACAAGGAGGCAAAGTGGGCCATGCAGAGACCTGAAAGTCAGAGGAGGTGGCGTTTCAGGAGAAGGAGGAGCAGCACTATGAAAATAGCATAGACGAGGCTACCCCAGCTCTACCCATGGTGTACGGGAAAGATGAAAAAGGGTGGCCACTTGAGACAGCTGAAGGAGGGGCAGTACTGCCAGGAGAGACCCAAGTGTCCAATAAAGCAAGGAGATGAAGGTCATGCTCCCAGACAAGGTGAGGAAGTGGGGGGTTTGCTGATGACTGATGGTGAGCACACAAACTGCACAGTGAAGGGGCTTCATGAGTTCCCTAGGGGAGGGAAGCAGGATTGGAAAAGCTGAAGTAAAGAGGCAAATGAGGATCAGGACACAGGAGTGAGAGATGACACGGGAGTCCAGGCTTCCTATGGTGACTGACATAAACGGGAATAAGACGTGTGATGAGATTGCTTCTGAGGGTCAAGTAGAGATTGGTGGAGAGGCTGGGAGTACAGAGGTTCCTTGCCAGGAGTAGCATCACAGGGATCCCACTTGACCCCTACTAAGGAAGGTGAATGGCTGAAGAAGGGAGGGAGGATGAAAAGGTACAGACTTATCCCTTGTTCATGGATCAGCAGAGGGACATTTTGTAAAACTGGCTTGTCCAAAAAAAAAAAAAAAAGCAAAAATACTGATTTTAGCTAACTCTCTGAGTAATTACGTTCAATCCTCTATGTGCAAAATAAATTTAAATCCTCTCTAATCCCTATTCTGCATTTTTTAAAATTATAATTCAAACTACCCAAAATTTCATCAACTCCAGGAGAGTGCATGAAAACACACACCGCTTTAGAGTGATGCACTGGTCACTGGATACTATAAAACATTCCACATTGAGGAAACACCCAATGAGGTGCATTCTTCTCTAAGTGCAATCTTAAAAAACATCAGAACAAGAAGAAACAATGCTTAGGCTGGAGCGCTTTAGAAGGATTCTTAGAAGGAAGCCGTGTGCTTGTTTTGTGTCTGGAAAATAAGATTAGACAGATAGTTGCATCAGATTTCCTGACAGGATTATTAGAGTGCAGTTACCACAGTAACCAGTAAACTACGTGTGCAGCTGGAGGAGGAGGAAGGTAGAAGGCATCTTTTTCAAAAACAATTAAATCCTATAATTTTAGAGCTGGAAAGGATTTCTAAAAGCCCTGTAGTTGAATCCTTTGCCTAAATACCCTAGACAGTATAAAGTATTTAAATATAGAGAAACTATAAGAAATACCCTTATAAAAATCATCCAAAGAGAAAAATAAGATGAAAATGAAACTTTTTGGTCATGAGTTGGGAGGTGCTAGAAAACTTAGTAATAATAAGTACATAAAATAAAGAAAGATTTCAAGCCTAACTAGAAAGAGGCAAGAACATACACTTAGCCCTTCCTATATGCTAAGTGTTCCCTTTTCACTAATCCTCAGAATAATGTAACACTGTTACAGATTAAGTGTCAGAGCTGGGATTTGAACCCAGGTAGGCCTATCCCAAAATCAATGCTGCCTCCTAGAGACTCCTGATGGCCCAGTCCACAAGTCCACAGGTGAGCTGCAGTAAGAAGAGAGCAGCGAGAAAGCAGGTGAGCATCCAGCCTGCCTTGGTCACCAAACAGCTCAGTGGCTTAGGGAAAGTCACTCCCATCCTCTCTGAACCCAAATTTCTTCATCTGGAAATGAGACTAAATGACCTCTTCACAAATGGAAAACCAAAGATCCAAATAAATCTCTGGCCTAGTTTCAAAGATACCAAATCACATTCTCAGAGGAAAGCTTAATGATCGAATCACCCCCTGGTGTTCCCATTCCATCTGAACCATTCTTATGCCAAAGTCTCTCCCATCTCACACCTACATTCTTCTAAATGTGGGCTGCCCACTAGCTAATGAACAGACTCACTGCAGCTTTCAACAACTAGCCATAGTAAGTTGCTAGCAACTAGCCCTGAATATTTAAAGATATCAACTTCTTTCAAACAATGCTTCCCAAACTTTTCCGCACCAAAGTGCACCTGTGCCCCCTCCTCCGCCTTTCCAGTGTTATTTCTGTTCTCCATGCTTCCTCACAGATCATCATGGACTTGGTTGAACAATCTGGATCCAAAATGTTCTCAGAACCCTGTGGAGAAATTCTGTCGGGCTAAGAGGCTTAAATTCAGTTAGAAAAACTATGTCTGTCTTATTACTTCTCCAACATATTTTTGACATTCTGAGTTTTCTGTTGTTGTTGCTGTTGTTTTGAGACAGAGTCTCGCTCTATTGCCCAGGCTGGAGCAGCGGCACAATCTCAGCTCACTGCAACCTCTGCCCTGCAGGTTCAAGTGATTCTCCTGCTTCACCCTCCCAAGTAGCTGGGACTACAGGCGTGTGCACCACGCTAATTTTTGTATTTTTAGTAGAGACTGTGTTTCACCATGTTGGCCTGGCTGGTCTTGAACTCCTGACCTCAGGTGATCCACCCGCCTCAGCCTCCCAAAGTGCTGGGATTATAGGCATGAGCCACCATGCTCAGCCGGCATTCTGAGTTTTCTATATATAAAAGATAGATAGACAACAGGAGTTAAAAGGCTATGCTCTATGACTACCCACAGCCACCATCAGTTCCACTCAGATGCAAATATATTCTTTCCTTATGACTCTGAACACTTCTTTCAACTACTTTTTTTTATTGTCTCTGGCACCTTCTGCAAGTCTCAGATCTCTCTGGAATCTGACTACCTCAACTTAAATCCCAGCGCAGTTACTTAACTAGCTATGTAAATGACAGCAAATACCTAAACGCCCAAAGCCTCCCGTTTACGCCTCTGTAAAAGGGCAATAATAATACCATCTACTTCATAAGGTTATCATGAGATCAAACAAGGATGTGAGTGCTTAGAACACTGCCTGACACACAGTATATTAACATGAGCTAAGATCACTGCCAGTCCCTCCTGATTGTGAGCCTTCTATCTTGTGTGTGCTTCCTTTTAAGACCTAAGTTCATTAGAAAACTGCCACATTGTGACACTCCTTCCTTTTGGTACTTACCCCTTATCTTCCACAAGGGAATCATTTATTACATGGTCAGAATTTAAATATCTCAGAATTTCCTAACTCCTTTCCTGTCTTCTGGACTCTGATCTGTCACTTAGCAATTCTTACACGACTTAAAAAAAAAAAAAAAAAAAAAAAAAAACCTTCATTGACAGCCTTCTCCAGCTTTCCTTTGTGAGGTTTCTTCTACTGACCCACTATCCTGTACATTGAGGCATTTGGATTTCCCCTCGTAGCATGTAGTTCATGGTCTGCTGATCTGCCCGGAGTAATTAATGCTCCTGTGGCCAACAGCATATATCTCAAAGATAGGTGGCCAGGGTTTGGGGTTCAATCTTACATTATGGAACAAAGCTACATGAATTGGCCTATCTGGGCATTATGTACTCTGCTCTTTGGTCTCTTTAAGTGTCATACCCTAAACCAATGATCCAATATTCTTGGCCTCCAACCAAAAGCAATACATTCTAATCAGATTGTTCTTAGCCATTTATAAACTCCTACAAGCTCAGGGTTGTCAAATAAGGAATATTCTACACTCAAAACGTTGTGACAAAAACACTGGTTCAAAAATAGCAATCATTTTAAAAGGCATTAAGCTACACACTGAACACTGAAGGTTTTAATGGAAATTGACTTTAGAAGTAAGGAGAACCCTCTGCTTCCTTACCACGTGGCTTGAAAAATAAATGACACTCTAAATGAAGGTCTGCCCAACTGGGTTAATTGGGGAGAAGGTCAGATTCAGATGCTCAATCAAATTTCTCTTTTAGTTCTATTTAGAAAATAGTCTCTGACTAGGGTAAGGCTTAAAGAAAACATCTTAAGGATATGGGCAATGGATCTGCAAGAATGGAAAAGTAATAAGGAGCCGAATAAATTACAAAATCGATTATTTCTTCATGCTCGACAACAATGCAGGCAGACTAGGCATGATGTTGGGATCTTGGAAAGTGGGGAGGGGCATCTACAGCCAATTCTATTTTAATAAAATCACCATAACCTCCACCACGTACTGAGTATGTGCCAGAAAATGACTATGTGAAGTATTTTATATTACACCTCATTAATCTTTATAAAGGCCCCAATGGCACAGGTTATTGAGGCTTAACACAGGTAAGTAACTTGCCCAAGGTCACACTGAGCAGGGTTGGGATTCAAACTCCAAAGCCTTTAATCACTGCCCTGCATCTACACCACTATCCCTGCATCTGGACACCCACTGCCCAGCCAGAGGCAACCTGACCCTGCTGAGAACTGAAGCTTCTATCTGGTATCCTTTCCAGTACTGGACAGCACAGCCAAAAAGACCACAAATCTGCCTAAGGCCACACTGCTGGGAGATACTTTTGTACTCAAGGAAGAATATCTGAGATATCTACTACCTGAATACCCAAACAAGGAAGAATACTGAAAACTGGACAGACCCCATGATAGGAATCAAAGATCAGCCCAGAAAAGGATTGGGCAGAATTCATAAAAGGAAAAAGATGTCCTTCCCCTGTGCTACATTAAAGAAATAACCTTGTGTCAAGGAAGACTCTAATTGACCCTCCACAAATCTCACTATGGAAGAAGAGAGAAAATAGGGAAAATCTAATCCCAACCTCATACGCTAGTCAGAACCAACTAGTTATCTGCAATGTCCAGAACTCACATATTCAAATGACTTCGCAAGAGGACTCAAATAGCTAACAGGAAAATATTCTCCTTCCCAGGCTAGGCTTATTGGAGATAGTGGGTGTGTATGAGAGAGGTGACGCTACACCACCTGTCCATAATACAGGTAACAATTTCTTGATTTTCACCTCCTTGAGTTTGTTGTGGTCATTTTAATTTATTTTATATTGATGGGGACAAAAATGGGAACAAACTAAGAAAAAAAATCATGAAAAGGAAATTCTATATTTTTTTCATTCATAGAATGTATACATTTCATCGAAACTATAATATAGCCTTTAGGGACCCTCATAGGAGGATTCATGCTGGCAGAGACTCAAATTCAGAAACAATGGGATCACCCTTCAACTCTCAGCATATAAAACTTATGTGCTGGTTCTTTTCATTTTATGTAACTTTCAAAGTACAAAAATAGCACAACCCAAGAAGCAACATTTAAGTGTAAAATCCTTCCATAAACAGAACAACTCATTCATCAAAATAGTTTGTTATAACCGAATCAATGGCCCACTTATTGGAAAAGTGCTAAACACAAAGAATTTCATTGAAATCAAATTTTCTGAGCTGGCTCTATAAAGTAAGTGCAATAACTACATTTGTTCATAAGTAATGACATAATGGCAAAACTACTACCAAAAGTGTAAATTCTCCTAACAAAACTAGTCAAGAAATAAAAAAAAAAAAAAAAGTAGGACCAGCTTTTTTGAGTAAAACATATAAAAGAACTACTAGGACAATCTGTGGTATAATCTGCATGCTATTTCCATCTTATGCACAGAAAATGAGGACTATGATCTGACAAGAAACCTGTGCAAGACAGAGTCTACCAAGGGGCAAAAGTTCTGGAGACAGAGCTTAGCAGCACACTCTCATAGCAAGTGGAGCATTGTACGCCTGTAACATTAATGACTCAGTATTTGTAACTATAAAATACAGTGCCCCTTTTTTTATACTACCACCTTTTATTTTATTTTTTTTTTTTTGAGACAGAGTCTTGCTCTGTTGCCCAGGCTGGAGTGCAGTGGTGCAATCTCGGCTCACTGTAACCTCTGACTCCTGGGTTCAAGCGATTCTCCTGACTCAGCCTCTCGAGTAGCTGGGATTATAGGCATGCGCCACCACGCCTGGCTAATTTTTGTATTTTCGGTAGAGACGGGGTTTCGCCATGTTGGCCAGGCTGGTCTTGAACCCCCGACCTCAGGTGGTCCACCCGCCTCAGCCTCACAAAGTGCTATGGAAGAAGGGGGAAGATAGGGAAAACCTAACCCCACCCTCATACGCTAGTCAGAACCAGCTAGTTAGTTCCTAAAGCCAGATTACAGGAGTGAGCCCACCATGCCCGGCCACTAACACCTTTTTGTTAAAAAATGTTTTTCATATCTTTAACTGAGCCAAAATATTAGTCGCTAAATGAAGAATTTACAAAAACTCCTCACTATATCACGTCCACTCTGACCAAACATGATTCTTTGTTAAGAGAACATTTTCTAGTACTTCATTTTACTATGCAACAAAAGAATCATTCACTGCATTGTCTTCATTCCTGGCTGGCCTCATTCACTCCACTTGAGGAGCCTCTGACCCACAACCATCACAATCGCCCTTCACACTTGTGTTTTCTCTATAGCACCTTTCAGAGAACACCACCATACAGTTCAGAAGTCAATGATGCCATTATGGACACGGATCTGTTCGAGGATGTTGGCTGGTTACACCATTGTGTGACAAGACAATTACCTTGACATTCAATTTTTTAGAGTTGGTCTAGATTTCATATTTCTCCCAACATCCTTATATTATATAGAGGTGAGATCATCAAGGTTAGAAGACATATGCCCGATTACCGTAATACAACTAAAGAAACAGAAATGTACAAAGAAGTCTCATAGTTCACAAATGTTAAATGGGTCTTATGCAATCCTCAGGAAATGTTATTCAGTGTGAATATATGGGAGAAAATACTGGAAGCTCAACCATCAACATTTGAATTTGGAACAGATACAGGGCTGATTTGCAATAAGATACTTATTAACTTACAAGGAGAGCTGTATGGCAATAAGGAAGTAGAGAAATGCATTTGGCTATCTCTACTTTGTTTTAAGCACTAACAAATGATAAGCATTAGTTTCCTTAAGCCTCATGACATCATACTCCAACATAATATATGCCCTGACAAATAAGTACTGCACTTATTCAAGCAGGCATATAGTTTAAACACAATATATTTATGTTCAATTGATACGCTGTCTTTTTAAAGGGCAACTGTGCCAAAACTATAAATGTTAGTGGAAAGAGAATTTCAAAATGAAATTCCAAACGGCTTGTGACTCTGAGGAAAATATAAAGTTTACAGATACATACATTGCTCCTTAAAGGGTACATCTGAAACCCTAATTGAAATAAATCATTTTCTGGAACAAAGCAGGGCATAACTTAACAAACACTAAAATAAGTGTTCTGTGTTTCCTGACTTTTTTGTTTCATTTATTCAAGTAAGCAACATTTATTGAGTGCCTACCATGTCCTATGTACTATAAAAGGGGCCTGAGGGTACAAAAATGGAATCATACTGGTTTTCCAGGCTTAAAAGCTAGTAATACTAGATTGTGAGCAACAGGATGTTCGTATGTGCACTTTCATGAATGATTTACATCCATTAAGTCATTTAACCCTAAAACAACCTTAAATACTATTAATTAGAGATGAGAGCTGAAGCCCAAAGAAGTTAAGTGACTTGTCCAACGTCACACAGCTAGGAGCTGGGTTTGAACCCAGGCAACCTGAGACCACAGCCCACACTCTTCGCTACCATACTGCCTTAGGCTGCTCACAGGGGAGGTGAGTAGAGTACAGTCTGTCACTGGAAGGACTTCCTAGGGAAGCACATACAGAAGCTGAGTACTAATGGCTGAAATGGGGAGAGGAAGGTATTCTGGTCATAGGATGGTGCAACAACCTACAAGCATGGAGGGATGAAACCTGTCACTGTCAAGACAGCAAGTAGTTCCTAAAGCCAGAATGAGAAGGGTGCATGCAAACAGGAGAGGAGAAACAGCTAGAAAGCGAGACAGGGGGCAGAAAACAGTACCTAAAATCTGGGGGTTGGGGGAGACATTAAAGTTTTTATTTTTATTTTTTTTCTCCTGGAAATATGGAAGATGGGTGGAAGGGGGATGAACTAGGAAGCAAGTTGCAAAACAATCTAGGGCCTAAACTGAAGTAGTCAAATGGCCGAGAGACTATTTCATTGGGCCAGCACAGTAACAGAGCAGTAACAATGGCCAACACAGTAACAGAGCAGACAGAGATCCCACCAGGAGTGATTAACTTAGACACACATACTCTTCCTATAAAAGACACGTACAATTCCATATAAGGTGAGTTTCATTGCCTACAAAGGATGTAGAAACTAGAGACAATAAACAAAAATCTGGATGCCAGCACGGGGCAGGGGAAAGCGCATTGAGCATGGACTCAAGGCTTTAGCGCCCACCCTGCCGCCCCACAGTGAGCACAGCTCACCTGGCCACTCAGGTGCTGCGTTCTCTGAAATTAGTCTAGAAATGGACTGTAAGAACCCTTCTTGTACAGACAGCCTCTGAATACCATTTATCACTTGGGGACATGTCAGAATTAGTAAAACATGTAAAATATCTTCATCCTATTTCTCTCCTTTATTGGTTTATTTTAAACAATTGTTCACATTTAAGCACAGCTTCAGGAAAATCACAAGGAGATTAAAAACAGTACAACTATACACAGAAAATATATCTTTTTAAATATACATTGCATCAAAATGGAAATTGCTTAATAGCATTTTCCAGAATATAGAATTTTTAGAAACCTCATTTCATTTTCATAATTTAACACATCCTTATAATTTAAAGCCAGGAACCCAGAGTGATTATGCATTCCTTATCTTATAACAAAATCAAATCAACAGAGCTGCATGCTTTTCGGGATTTTCACGGATTAACTATCCATCTACAGAGAAAGCCTTAGTAATATACAAGAACTGGAATTACCAGTTGCAACACAAATTGCAATTTAAAACACACACACAGAGATCAGCACAGATGATTCCCAAGGAGACTTCCTACGCTTCATTGAAAGAAAAAAGCATAACCCCATGCAGGACAGTGAAATGAACAGAAGAGACAGGAAACTGAGTTTTTCCTCCAGACTAGCTCTTATTTGCATGACCTCAAGCAAGTATCTTAACCTATATAGAAACCTTTGTAAAGACAGGCTATTTCCAAGGACGGTAGCAAAGACGAAATGACAGAAGAGGTGTGAAGGGCCTATGGTTTCAGATTGTTACTGTTCATGCTTCAGAAAATGTCACCGTCTCCAGCAGCTCACTTCCCAACTTTGATCAGATGTAGTCAAGACTGGCCAACTAAAGATTTGCCAGCAAATTGCATCCCTTAGATCTGTGAGAAGCTGGCCTTTCCAAAGACCTCAGGTTAACACTGTGCTTAGTAGACTGCCACAGAAGGGTGCTGTTAAAGGTTCATCTCAGAACTAAGACTTTTTTAAAAGAAATCACAAGATAAATATCTACCAACTCAGCAAATGACTAAATAATATAAAATTAATTAAAAATTAATAAGAACTATTATATCAAGTACCTAGTTGAAAAGGTTTTAAATGATAACAAAATCTACAATGAGTTATCATCAAGGATCTGGGTCAGTAACAGGGAGAGAAGCAAGAAATGTGGGCATGGAGATTAGTTAAGCTGATAACTGCAAATTCCCCCATTTGATTGAGATGTTAATGGTTAGCAGTTGGTAGAAGAAAACAGAATTTATAAAAGCCAAAAAGCAATTTATCCTCTAGACAAATCACCAAGGCATAAGAAGAGAGACAGCCAGGGAGTACAAGTTCACATAACTATAATACATTCACTCTCTCTAAGTAATTAATCGGTATAAGTGAATCCGAATATATTTTTAAGGTAGGGTGGGGAAACCAAGGTACTCTGTGTGTCCAGAATCAGGAAGGCCTCTGGCCCCATGGCCTCCCTGACTCTGTTCCGGATACCTCTGCCTCAGGAAACCTTGCAGCTCATAGCGGCTACCTAACAAATTTCTCATCTTTAATACCAGGATCACTACTCAACCCTGAGCTACAACAGCCACCAGGGGTGTGTTGAACTGAGTCTTTGAAGAAAGAATAACCACTTTAAGTGTTGTCCTGCACACACATACACGTGGACTCACAGAACACCAGCAGAGGAGAAAGAATACAGGGAAAGTACATTCTAGGATCATGAAACTTATCATTGGTGTGATGCTGAGAAAATCTCTGAGCCAAAATTCATACCTAAGCATAGATAATATCTGGTACTAACATGTTAAAATACTAGGAGAAGAAAAAAGGCTTTTGTCTCCTTAACAAGCTATAAAACATCAGGAAGTAATGACAGTTATATGGAGCCTACCAGTTTTGCCAGAAATAAAGAACAACTCACCCATCCCCACTATGACTACAAAAAAATGACAACCTGTTATAGCATTTCAAGCAATATTTCAAGCTGGGTTCCAACTGAGAGATATTTATAGATGTCCCATTTAAAAACAAAAAAAAACCCTCCACTGTCAAATAGATTTGGGGAACACTGTTTACTAATCCTCCTCTTAAAGAAGCACAAAACATATTTTTATTTATTTACACAGTGTCTTGCTCTGTCACTCAGGCTGGAGCGCAGTGGCACAATCTTGGCTCACAGGAGCCTCGACCTTCCAGGCTCAAGCGATGCCCCTGCCTCAGCCTCCCAAGTAGCAGGGACTACAGCTGCACTCATCACTGATTTTTCTGTATTTTTTGTATTTTTTGCAGAGAAGGGGTCTTGTGATGTTGCCCAGGCTGGTCTCGAACTCCTGGGGTCAAGCAATCCACCCACCTCAGCCTCCCAAAGTGCTGGGATAACAGACATGAGCCACTATGCCCAGCCGCATATTCATTACAAAGGCTCATCTGAAAAGTTCTGCTGTCAAGAAATTTCTTTCTTTAAATTTATTTGACCAAAGAAGTTTTACTCACTTAACACCTTTAAGCGCTGGCATTCCAAGGGATACAGTGTAGTAAACAGCAGGGAGGGGACTTTCCACATTTCTGTAGAATCTCTGCTTTTCTGGGCAAGGTCATCAATCTGTACTATTCAGATGGACTTCCTCCACGTAGCAGGAATCACATCTGAGTGTAAACCATTTAGTCTCTCCAGCAGAAAAAGAGAGCCTCTCTCTTCAAGGCGGTATTTCCCTAGACCCCAATGAAGGACTCTTGGGTCATATGTCCACCCCCTGGACTAATCACTGTGGCCAGGAGACTATAGCACAAAGGCCAGCAGGCACGGAAGTATCAGGTCTTTTGTGGCTGAAGAAGCTGAAACCATAGTAGAATCACATGGTTGCTGTGGACATGAGAAGTTCCCTAAAAGAAGTGTGTGTGTGTGTGTGCGCGTGTGTGTGTGTGTGTGTGTGTGTGTGTGTATGCATGTTTGCATGGTGGGTGGTGCTATGGAATGGAGACAGAATCTCTACCCTGAGCTCTGGAAAACTAAATGACATCTCCATTTGGATATGTAACAAGTATTACAAATTAACATTTCCCAAATGTTTTCAGCTGTCCTTCCCTTCTTCCTCAACATGTCCCTCAGTTTCAGCAAAAGTCAGTATCACATACCTAATCAAAACCTGGGAATCGTCCTGGATTCTTCTTTTTCCCTCATTCCCCACTTTTGATCATCAGCAAATTCACTTGCTTCTACCTTAAAAATACATTCAGAACTCACCCACTTCTCTACACCTTCACTGCAAACACTCACCCAAGCCACTATTATCTCATACCTGGATGAGCACAATCGAACCACTTCCATTTTTGCCTACCCATCTTATTCACTACAGCTTTCTCAGTGCCCAGCACATGACAACCACTCAAAAAATATTTGTAAACAAACGAGTAAATGGGGAAAAGGCTCCTAGGCTGGAAAGACAAAAACAGCAGATTTCCAGTTCATCACTACTTTTATGACTATTATGACCTATCTTTAGATTTGAGGCTCCTGGCAACAAAAGTCAAAAGGCAAATACACAATAGTCCTAGTGATTCAGGAGGCTGAGGCGAGAGGATCACTTGGAGTCCAGGAGTTCAAGGCCAGCCTGGGCAACAGAGTGAGACCACCTCCCCATCTCTAAAAAAACAAAATTTATGTTTTTAAAAAACCAAACACCCTATTATTTTAATTGATTCTTTAAACGAAGCACACAAGATTTTTAAATGAGAAAAGTTCTTTTTTCCTGGCACTAAATGCTAAAAGCAATTTAGAATATGAACTATTCATTTAACAAGTATTCATAGGTCCTTAAAGAAAGCATTGAATTGCAAAACAGACTTATGATTCCTTTAACAAACAACATGGACCTGAACTTCACAGTTGGCTTCTCATATCAATTTGTAAAAGCCAAAGACAAGCATCAAAAATTAAAGTAAGTGGGCTTCAGGGAGTGTAGAATAATGGGGTCCAGTCACGTAGCTTTCTAGAGATCTAATAGGAAGGACTGAACTTCGGCTCCCTTGGGGGACGGATGCCTCACGGGTCCTGCAAGAGACTCAGATTCTTGCCTTCCCACTCCCATGGATTAGCTCTGGGGAACTGCTGAAGGATTTTAAGTAGGAGAATGATACACTTGGATGTGCAGTTCAGAAAATCACTCTGGCAGCTGTACAGACAATGGATCAGGGTGAGGTCACAGCCTGGGTGGGGCTAATTAAAAGGGTACTGAGGTTTCCTGGAGAACAGCGATGACAGCCTGAACTAAATTTTAATAGAACTTAGTACCCACAAAATCTCTTTAGCCTATCATGGGCTGCAGCATCAGTGGAGCGTCTATCATGGAGGCAGTGCCTCAGGAACAGGCAATCCTTTCCCAGTAAATACTGTGCAGGGCTTTTCACCCCCACCTGCTACTGAGGTCCTGGCATAACACATAACATTTGAGTTGTGCAGCTCCTATATGAAAATAAACAGAAGAAAAGTTGTTTTGACAGCAGGAGGCTGGAAGGAGGCTTAGAGTCAACTAGTCCCAGAGTACAAGCAAGGGAGATACTTCAATCCTCAACTTCCTCAGGGGCAGAAGAATATACTGAGTGCCTCCTCCCAGGAAGTTTGCTGCTTGTTGTTGAAGAATGATTTCCCATAGAAACAATATTATAAGCAAACAAATTTCTTCTTTCTACAATTTATCTTGATAAACATGATTCACTTCTGGGAAACTTTTAGCAAAATTACATTACAGTAAGTTCCCTTCTCCTCCCTCCTCCTCAAAAAAAAAAAAAAAAAAAAACCTCTTGAAAATGTAAAGCAGCAAAATAATAAAATTGATCAATCTTCCTCAATCTAAGTCCATAATGGAGCATCTAAAAGCTGGTTCTTCAAAATGGCAAAAGGTCAGCACTTCCAAAAAGTATCTCACCTAATGAGGGGGTAAATCATGGCTTGTGCCACTCCAGATCCCATCCTCATCTGTCTTTTTTTTTTTTTTTTAATAGAGATGGGCGGGGGGGTGCGTCTCACTATGTTGCCCAGGCTGGTCTCGAACTCCTGAGCTCAAGTGATCCTCCTGCCTCAGCCTGAGAAAGTGCTAGGATTACAGGCATGAGCCACCACACCCAGCCCCTCACTGTCTTCTAAACCAAAAATGATTTTCTAACTTGGTTGAAACCTTCCTGGTCTCCCAGCCTCCAGTTCTGCCACACTGTAATCCAGTTACCAAGCTGCAATCAAAATGGAAATCTGATCATCTCTCCCCTTCTTCCCTGGCTCCCCAAAATCTTCATCAAAGCCTTCCATATCTTAGCCCTTCCTGCATCATCTCTGTTCCTTAAATTGAACTTCACACTTTAAATCCCTCTCCCTCTTGTCATCACTACCTGGCCAGCTCATCCGGGCCTTAAGGCTCAACTCAGTCATCACCATGGAGCATCCCTCTAGCCCTGCACTGGGCCAACGCCAGTCTATAATCGCACAGTACCATGGGCACACCTCTTACCACACCGTACTGTTCAAGTCTGCATGTTCTGTCTTATTTATCTTCCTGCCTCTGGTAGCAGCATAAAGCCTGACACATCATGAGCATTCAATGTTTACTGAACTAACTCCAGAATGAAACTCTCTTCTACTTGCCCTCAACTCCCTACCTTCAATTTCCTGACCTACAACAGTGTCCTCAATGTGTTCTTTTAACAATGAATGTCTGACGCTGAATAGGATCAAGTGCTTTGCACAAGTTCATCATTAAACAACTCATATCAGAGACTAATGATAATGAGCTGATGCCCAGACTGGGAACTAAAACTTCGCAAATAACTTCTCATATGCTGAATCCCCTGAACAACTCTGGAGGACAGATATCCCTGTTATCTTTTCATTGTTTTCTTCAACCCTATCTTTCAAAACACACATACAACAAGAGCTGAGATACTTTGAGTATCTTTGAAAAATTTTGTCTGAAGCAAGAAGAAATCTGCATTTAGGTATCACTGATGAGGTAATCAGAATTCTTGTTTGACTTCTCCAAAAGATCCCTGATGCATTCAATTTACATATGTGCTTCCTCTCAGCCATATCCTGGTCTGAATACCAGCAATGTCACTTACTAGACAGACTTTGCTCATGTGCTTTTACAAGATAATACAAACTTCTGAATGTGTCATGTCCTGATCATTTAGGCTAAGGATCAATGAACTCAAATGTATAAGGAGGCCAAAGTAGCTTTGTCAAAGAGCAAAGCCGGCTCTGTGGAAAAAACGACAGCCTTGAGGACAATGACAAATTGCAGTCAACATGGGCATCACGGCCAATGAGAAACACTAGGGTGCTTTCGGGATGGCAGAAAGCTGAAAAGAGCTTGCCACTGCTAAAAGAAAGAGCCTGGTCACAACCCAGCTCTTCCGATTCCTGCTAAGCACAAACATAGACCTAGTGTTCCCAGATCCAACTTTCTTTTTTTTAAAGGTGGGGGAGGATGGAATCTAGATTTATGGCTGATATCTCCCAATTTATAAATATTGGGAACCAACATCAATTTTTTAAATACTGCGTATTTAAAGCACAGTAGAGCAGGCTGCAAGCCACCAGCCTGTGACATCTGGCTTTACGCCTAAGTTGCTCATTATCATTTTAAATGGCCCACTGATTCTTATAAACTTTTGTCTTCTCCAACATGACAGAAAGATCTTTTGTGACTGGAAATACATATGACCCTCCTAAGACTGGCACCCATTGTAGAACCCAAGATTTGATGTCCTGGACTCAGGAATAGATGGATTAAAGCATCCATGTTAATTAACATGAAGTTTTGTCTAGCTCACCAATCCAGGAGATTTTTTTCCCCTCTCATTGCATTTTTTTTAAATTTTTAATTATTATGACTACATAATAGTTATATATATTCCTCATATCTCAATTTAATTACCACAATCACTGTTTTTACAAGGTCCCAGGCAAGAAGAGGTGAGGCAAATGGAGGCTCTGAGGAAAGTGGCTCCAAAGCCTACATGATGGAAGATAACTCTGGAAGAGAAAGAGATGACGTTCCTAAGCTTGTATAGCAAAACTTGAGAGAAGGTAACGAAGATGTGACATCTGAACTCAGAGAAATATAACTTCTATAGAAAAGAAACAAGGCCTTGCAGCTCTATAAGGAACAGTAAATAAATCAAGTATGCACACAAGAAGTAAAAAAATATATCCAAGTAGAAAGGAAGCTTTTCATGAAATGTCCACAGAGCTCATGCTCTGTAGTGACTGTAATGCAAGATTCAAGGCTCTATCTAGAAAACTCCTAGCCAGTCTTGACGGACCAAGCCCTACACTGAGCATGTACAGAGTCTTCCTGTTCCATGCAGTACTTGCTAACAAAACTAATTTAAATGCCTTACCATGACTCGATCTCCTTTAAAGTACCTCATTAGTCCTTGATATCCCTTTGCTGTATCTCTGGCTTGCCTTGCCACTGCTCTGTGAGTCCCCACAACTCCTCCTCCACACATACTCTTCCCCCAAGAGCTTGGCACAGAATAAAGATCCATTTTAGATCTGGATTTAAATAGTTTTCTTTACTAGCTCATTTCCTTATCTACTAATGAGGGAAATACCACCTACGTCAGAGTGGGAATTAAATGAAATAATAAACCTAAAGACCCCAGCTCAATGGTTCAAACATAAATAATGCCAAATATTCATTCCTCTCCCCATGCCCATATCCTCTCACCAAGCCCCAATGTTCTATAGCTTATGACCCAAAACGCTAAAAGTAGAACATTCTAATATTGAGCATATTAACAGAAGCTTGAAGAGATATGCAAGTTATAAATCTGTTTTTGTTCTTCCTCACCAATATAAATTTGCTAAGTGACAGATTAAGACAGTCAATTCCAAGAAGTTGGATTCAATAACATGACATGAGGCACAAAGTAGCCCATATCAATAGCCAGGAATGATTTTATTGCAGCTTGTTATGCTAGTTGCCAGGAATTTTTTTTTAATCTTGAATGTTGCTTTAAATATAGTAATAAAAGAAAATATGACCGGCTGTTGAAGCCCATATGCTACTCCTTTTCAGGACTACAAAATGCTCATTCAGACTTTGTTTGTGCACAGCAAATAGTAGCCGGAGGGGAGCCAGTGAAATCAATGAAAACTTACTGTTTGGAAAACTAGCAAATAGAAAATTGGGGCTGTGTTTCTCTGGTTTCTTCTAATCTAAAACCTGTGATGGAAATCAAGTTGATTCTTGACTTTTTATTTCAATTTCACTGACAGTCCAAATAGAATGCCTAGTGATCTCTATGCTACAAATCTCCGCTTCATCATACAAATTAAGCACAGTTGATCACTCTGTTCCTGAAATATTTCCCCATGAAACCAGTTTCCTGGTTTTCTTCTCTTCTCTCCCTGGCCGTTCTTTCTGTTCTTTTGCTGGCTCTTGCTCCTGTGAATGTCAAGAGTTCCTTCCAGCTTGGTCCTTTGCCCGCTCTTGCACCCTCTCTCCTTGCTATCTCTCTCCTTGGTGATATCACACCTATTTCAATTGCTTTAAATACTCCCTGTACACTGGCAAGTCCCAAATTCCTTTCTGGAAACTGTATCTTTCTGCTGAGCTGTATTTGAAACTACATCTTCCCTCTGGACTGTACGCTCATTTTGCCATCAACAGCCAACATCTTCACTTGGACATTTCATGAACACTCCAAACGCAATGTGTTCAAAAGTTATGTCCTTTTGCTACCCCCACCAGTCTCCCTCATCACAATAAACAAGGTCCTTATCAGGTTGCAGTGAGCCAAGATCATGCCACTGCACTCCAGCCTGGGTGACAGTGGGATTCCGTCTTGAAACATTAATAATAATAATAATATTTCTGATTTCTCCTTTTTCCTCAGCTCCCATATACAAAAGTCCTATCATCCCTACCTTCAAAACATACACCAGAATCCATCTACTGCTTACCATCTCCTCCAGCAATCCCTAGACCAGTGGTTCTCAAACTTTTCTGTATATCAGATCATCCAAAGGACTTGTTAAAGCAGATTGCTGAGTCCCACCTCCAGGTTCTGAATCAGCAAGTCCATAATAAGACTTGAAGTATGCATTTCTTACAGGTTTCCAGGTCATTCTGATAGGGCTGATCCTGAGACCACACATTGAGAAGCACTGCCCTAGACCAAGCCTGACCTCTCACTCCCACTACTGTTAACAGTGTAATGCTCTACTTAGAAGCCTCAGTAATCATTTTAAACATATCAGATTATGTTATTTCCCCAGTAAAATCAAATCCAAGCTCCTTACTGACCAGTATATGTAATCCAGCATGACTTCTTGGATATCCCGATGCTCTTGCCTCATGGTTCTTTAGCTCTCCACTAAAACCACACACTTCCTCAGGGCCTTTGCACAATATATTGAATCTGCCTGGAAACCCCTTTCCCTCACTCTTCAAATGGCTGGCACTATTTTCCTTCAGGCCTCATCTTAAATGTTATTTTCTCAAAAATGTCTCATCTAGGCCGAGCGCAGTGGCTCACGCCTGTAATCCCAGCATTTTGGGAGGCTGAGGTGGGCGGATCACGAGGTCAGGAAATCGACACCATCCTGGCCAACACGGTGAAACTCCGTCTCTACTAAAATACAAAAAATTAGCCGGGCGAGCTGGTGCGCGCCTGTAGTCCCAACTGCTAGGGAGGCTGAGGCAGGGGAATTGCTTGAACCCAGGAGGTGGGGATTGCAGTGAGCTGAGATTGCGCCACTGCACTAAAGCCTGGCGACAGAGCAAGACTCTGTCTCAAAAAAAAAAGTCTCATCTGACTATCCTACACAGCTCCCCACCCCACTCCAAATTCCCTATCACTATACTGTTTTCAATAAGTTTTAGCCCTTACCATAATTAGTGTGGAAGTGTATGCATATGTTTGTCTCTTGCTGCCTAGCAAGACTAATCAAGCCATATCTGTTACATCTGCTGTATCTTCAGCACACTGTCTGCTACACGCTACATGCTGAATCACTTTTTGTTGTATAAATGGATGGATAAATTAATGAATAAATAATGAACTTTTCAGTAAAGGCAAAAACTTCTGATTTCTAGCTAACATAATTTTTTAAACTTCTAAGATTGTTCGAATAATTCCCTTTAAGCCAAGCAAATTATCTTCCAAACAAGTCAAAACAGTACCATATGAAAACTGTAGGGGAAAAAATGCTACTGAACACAAATCATTTCCACAAAAACAGACCCACAGCAAAACCCTAAAATCTGCAAGCAAATTGTCTTTTCCAGTATTTTTTAAAGATAGTTAAATATCAGCCTTCACACCAGATGACACTTTTACAAATATTCCCAGATTAAGCAGCTCATGGTATGTGACAATATGTCAACACCCTTTCATAGAATATACACTTCTGCCTCACATAATGGCACGTATTCAAGTTTCAATGAATTCTCTACCACACGAATATAGAAAACTCATCTCAGGGCACAGCTCAACAAATGAGAAAACGGCCTTTAATCTACCACCCATCAACATCTGAGGTCTAAGCAAGAATCCTTTAGTTTCCAGAAGTAAGTTTTATATAGAACTTTCTATTTTCCCACTAATATTCATCACACTAGAACTAATGTTGCCACATAGGAAAGCAAGCTCCAAAGCAGATGAAGGGGAGACCACTGAGAAAGCTCAGGACCTAAGAGGCTCTGCATGGCTTGGCCCCTGGTCACCCTCAGCCCCACCTCCCTATCCTAGCTCTTCCACTTCTGCCCAGTGGTCCTCTTAGGGTTCACTTCCTTGACCCACCCAAGCACACTTCCACATTAGGGTCTACATTCACACCTGTGCCCTCACCTGGAACACCTTCTCCCTCACTTCAGCCCTCTACTAAACACCCCCCCTTCCCTGACATATTATCTCCAACAGCACCCATCACCCTACTCCATCTCCTATCCTCCCAGCTCTTATGACTACCATATACTTTATCAGATATTTATTTTCCATCTCCCCAAAGCTTAGGGATTTGCTTTGCTTGTTGCTTTACTCCCAACACTGAGAAAGTGCTTAGCTCACAGTAAGCACTCAAATATTTTGTTACATAAATGAAGGACAAGTTACATTCAGCCCAATATGAGAGGAAAAGCCATGAAACTGAACAACATTCTTAGGATTGCTGTGCCAGGCTTAAGCATTCTGTAAAAATTTGCTGCTATTTCCTGACATCAGGAATTTGCTTCTCTTTTTCTTCTGATCAGGGTGTTTAATATCTAAGAGAGCTTTGCTCCTATAATCCCTCTATGAATAGGCATTCATGTTTAAGGCAAAAAAAAAAAAAAAACTTGTTGAATCTTGAGATGTCACATTCTTCAACATAATTACTGCTTTGCACTGTGAACTCTGACACCATTCAGGGCCTCCCCAGCTCTGTAAGTGAAGTGACTGCAGCAGTGTCCCTCCAGGGACATGCCCAAGTCTCCTCTCCACGCCTAGCATGGGATTTGCTACCCTCTGTGGCAGCAGCAGACAGGAGAAGGTGTTCCTACAGGTCTGTTCCTTTGTGGGGCATTAAACAGGGTTAACTCCCACAATTCATGATTACCTGGAGTATTATCTGAGCCATGGGCTCCCAGATGGAGGATCTAGACTTGGGATGCCAACCAGAACAGGCTTGTCCTCTATCTCTTTTCTCTGTGCCTTTTTGCCTTCTGCCATAACAGTCAATTACCACAACTGATCACTGCTCTTCCATCCTTATTTTATGAGCTAGAAAATCAAAACACCCTAAATCCTAAATTATCTTTAATCTCTTATAATTTGATGGTTTACATGTGAAAACTATAGTTGAAAGGGAAAAAAATGAAACAAAACAAATGAGCAAACTGTGCTTTGCACAGTGGGGAATGTGAAGATGATGAATGGAACAGTCCCAACTTCCAAAGGTTTACAATCTAGTGACTATCCATAAAATAAGCTGTCATGTTACTTTACTGGATAAAGTAACCAGGAACCATAGAAACCATACATCTATGATTTTCAGAAATATTTGCAACCATTTATAAATTCTTTAAGGACAGCTTTAACTAAGATAAATAACCAAGCTTTTTATGCTGGAGTGCAGTGGTGTGATCATAGCTCATGGCAGCCTCAAACTCCTGGGCTCAAGCAATCCTCCCGCCTCAGCCTCCCGAGTAGCTGGGACTATAGGCATGTGCCACCACACCTGGCTAATTCTGGGGGGTTTTTTGCCTTTTTTTTTTTTTTTTTTTTGTAGAGACAGGGTCTCGCTCTGTTGCCTAGGCTGGTCTCGAATTCCTGGTTTCAAGCCACCCTCCTACCTTGGCCTCCCAAAGTGCTGGGATTACAGGCGTGAGCCACTGTGCCAGGCCTTTAGTTCACATTGTTTTACTTGTTCCTTCTCCTTCTCACTGAGAATATTCTTTTCTACCAATACTTTTCCAGATGCTGCACCAGGTCAGGCACACAAGATAAAAGTCACTAAAAAGTAAAAACCCCACCTACCAAGCAGATTTTTGTGTCTGTGCGTCTATTAGAATTTGAGAACTACCTAGAGAGCAGGCTACTGAGAGAGAAACCTTCCAAATGAATCTGGAATTACTTGGGATATCTGCAAAACAACCAAGAATAGGGAGGAAAGGGTGCGCCTGGAAAAAATGAATTAATCCAACCATCACAATTCTAGCCCTCCTCTGAGTCTTCCCTAATACAAATGGACCATAAATCATCATGCTGCCTTTGAAGCTAAATGGAGCAACCTAGACACAAAGAGATCATGCCTCAGACTGTGCGGAATGCCACTCTGTTAAAAGATGAGATCCTGGCTTCACACTTGAATCAGTCCTGTGAAAACTGTGTGAATATTGAGAAGGAGGGGCAAAGAAATATAAAAAATGGAGCTTACAGGGTAACAGTAAGCTACCTGCACATCACAGAAATTCTGCTCTTTAGAGAGCTTCAGTCCAAGACTATCAACCCAGTAACTCCTCTGATCCAATCCTAGTTGGGCTGAAGAATGTACCACTGCAGTGTAGCATTTTTCAGGTGGTCATAATGTGGAGACAGTTAGTAAAGGGAAGGTTACAAGCTCAGAAAAATGCAGCATTCACTGACAGCCACACACATTTATGTTACCTAAAGTTTGTGTATTTTTGTGTGTGTGTATGTATGTGCATATGTGTGTTTGTATGTGTGTGATCCAGAGCACTTTAATAATCACTCTATTTATTCCTTTGCATAAAAGCAGTGAAGGCTGGGCATAGTGTCTCAGGCCTGTAATCCCAACACTTTGGGAGGCTGAGGCAGGCGGATCACTTGAGGTCAGGAGTTTGAGACTAGCCTGGCCAACATGGCGAAACCCTGTCTCTACTAAAAATACAAAAATTAGCCGGGTATGGTGGAGAGCGCCTGTAATCCCAGCTAATCAGAACGCTGAGGCACAAGAATTGTTTGAACCCAGGAGGCAGAGGTTGCAGTGAGCTGAGATAGTGCCACTGCACTCCTGCCTGGGTGACAGAGCGAGACTCTGTCTCAAAAAACAAAAACAAAAACACCAGATTTCTTTAAAGTTAACTGAAAGAGAGCCAGGCATGGTGGTACGTGCTATATCGCGGCTACTTTGGAGGCTGAGGCAGGAGCATCTCTTGAGCCCAGGAGTTCTAACGCAGCCTAGGCAACACAGCGTGACCTGGTCTCTTTAAAAAACAAATAAATAGGGCCAGGCTCAGTGGCTCACACCTGTAATCCCAGCACTTTGGGAGGCCAAGGCAGGCGGATCATGAGGTCAGGAGATTGAGACCATCCTGGCTAACACAGTGAAACCCCATCCCTACTAAAAATACAAAAAATTAGCCGGGCGTGGTGGCGGGCGCCTGTAGTCCCAGTTACTTGGGAGGCTGAGGCAGGAGAATGGTGTGAACCCAGGAGGCGGAGGTTGCAGTGAGCTGAGATCGCACCACTGCACTCCAGCCTGGGCAACAGCAAGACTTCAGCTAAAAAAAAAAAATTAAATTAAATTAATAAATAAGTGAAATAAATAAAATTAATTAAAAGAATGAAAGGTTTAAAACAGTACTGAATATTCAAATTTCCTGCGTTATCATTTTTAGATGGTATTTTTGTTATTTTATACAGAAAATTACCTTAACCTTTCTATTTGTGTAAAGTATCAGAGGCTGTAACATCCCTGAGCTTTATAATAACAGTATGCATTCACCATTAATGCACTCATTAATTCAGATGCCACCTTGTCTCCTCAAGGCTGGATCAGACCCTCCTCTAGGCTTTGGAAGCATCTTGTGTGGCCTCTAGCAGCGCTCACCAGAACATCCAGCTTACCTGTATGTCCCTACAAGTCTGAGAAGTCAAATGCAAAGACTCTATTCTTGTTTTGCCACAGAACCCCCTAAATTCCTCCAACCCCGTGGGTGGGTGCTCAATAAAGATTGAAAAATATTAAAGGATCACATTTTACTAGCCAAATATCATATACTATGCTACAGGGTGCTGTAAGTCTCCCCTCAAGGGGTAGTTTTGGAAAAGACAGGTACTCAGCTATTCAGGCAGAGGCCAGACAACCAATGGGTGGAGAATTCTGGATGTGTGGGGTGGGGGTGGGGGCTGGGGGAGGCAGATGAGTAGTTCAGAACAGTCTAGATAAAGCTTGTCCAATTCATGGCCCATGGGCCACATGCAGTCCAGGATGGCTTTAAATGCAGCCCAACAAAAATTCATACACTTTCTTAAACATTATGAGATTTTTTTGGCAATTTTTTAAGATCATTAGCTATCATTAGTGTTAGCGTATTTTACGTGTAGCCCAAGATAATTCTTCTTCTTACAATGTGGCCCAGGGAAGCCAAAAGATTGGATACCCCTGGTCTAGATCTTTAAGGTCCTTCCCATTCCTGGGATCCTTTGGAAAAGCCAAAGTCCACCCCTCCCACCTGCACTCCAGAGCAACTGGGAAGCAGCTTTCAACGAAATCACCACTTCCACCAAGAATGCTAAGGAATGTTATCCCAAACATCTGACCAGCCTGCAGGAAGAGGTCACTGCTTTGTTTCCTTTTCATACCTCACCAAGGCCAACTCAAACCACACCATTTGTTAGGGGTAGAGGGTGGATAAAATGAGGTGTTATATGTGAAAGGCTCAGAAACAGTTCCTGGCAAATGATAAGCACTCAATAGCCTTAGCTATTAAACATGTGTTTTCCATTTAGTCCAAATAAAGGTAAAACAAGATATTTTGGTGACAACCATTTTCCTTACTTCTGAAGTCTCTGTTACATTATTCAGCCACTCATGCAAATGAACAAACCTGGGAAATACAATCCTCAAACAAGCAAACAATACTCTCCTCTACAAGTCTAGGTCTTTGCTTTGGTAGATGTGGCCAAAGAACCAGGTACTGCTTTCTCTAACCCCACTAGAAATCACCCAATGTTCCCACTACTCCTCCAAAACCTGTTTCTAATGTAGACAGAGGGGTGGGCAGGAGGAAGAAGACAGAGAATATACTATCCTACCTACCTTGCTGGAGTGTTTTTTCTCTTCAGAAAAATGCCATAAACTACCACAATTAACACCATACTCCAGCATATTTTGAGTCTTTAAGCAAGATTGACCATGTTCATCGACTAGTTCTCATTGACTAATCTTCATTGACTAATGTCCGAACATAACATGTGCAAGTAAGTTTTCTTCATAGGCAGGGTAAACAGTACTTAACTAATCCACTTTCAGGGAGCGATAACAATATATTTCTTTAAAGAGGTGAAAATAGGCTGATGCAGGAGAATCGCTTGAACCCCGGAGGTGGAGGTTCAGTAAGCTGAGATCTCTCCACTGCACTCCAGCCTGGGTGACAGAGCGAGACTCTGTTTAAAAAAAAAAAAAAAAAAAAAAAGTGACCAAATGTAGAGATTCAGTATTTCTCAAATCGCAACAATGTTATCTCACTCAAGAAGTTATTCTGCAGAGGTTCCTATCTTCTAGGAGTCATCTACTCCTTTGAAAATGTAATAAAAGCTATGGGCCCCAGAAAAATGTGTATTAAATGTGTATGTACCTTTCATGAGATTAGATTAGGGCAGTTAGACTAAAAAACATATAACTCTCTGTGTGCACTGCCCTCCCCTACTGAAAAGACCACCATTCTCCCTTCATTACCTACTGCCAGATTTATAGGTGCCTTCCTGTTAAGGAAATCGAGCCCTTTGAAACTAGCACAACTTTTAATATCAAAGGGCATGGCTTAGAAGAATGCATGCTACAATACACAGCAAAACCTTACCTAAATTATTTTCCTAAAATTATTAAATATTAATATTAAATATTATTACTAAATAAGTCTCAATCATAAAAATATATTTTATTACTTGCAAACATTCATAGAAAGTCAGAACAAGAAGTCAGCCACATGATGCCCAGTACGGCCTGCAGAGCAAAGGATTTCTCTGAATAAATCAGAATAATTCACAATTCGTCTAATTAATTTACTCGACATGTAAGCTAAGGAAGGCTTCTATAGGCTTGAGTAGGATCCTTTAAGAACAGTCTATCCTCATAGTAATTTTAAACACGGCAGCTCCTTCTCATTTGATTTGCCCTCCTCTACCCAAATTAAATTGCCTAATTCATGAGTAAACAGCTAATAAGAGCTCACGGAAGTCAATGAGCCCAGCCTCAGAAAAACACAATTTTCAAATTTTGGTAGTCACTGAGTAAGGCTGCACTAAGTATAGGGTCCCATTTCAGGTCCAAAGAAAAAGAGCATTTCATCCTTCTCTGATTGCATCTGTCCCTGCTGTTGAGCACCTCACAAACCAGGGCAAACAATGGCTTTGAGGAGATGGGGCTGGGCCGACATCCAGACCCCCCAGGACAGCCATCTGTTCCTGACTCGCCTTCCTAATGCAACTCCCAGGAGCATCTCCCTGGCAAAGGGAACGCAGCTCCCACGTGGGGTCTCCCGGGTGGCTGATGGGTCTGGAGTTGTATTAGAAAATGGGACTCCCAAAAAATGAAAGAGATCTTGCTAAGGAAGTTCAGCCCGCCTCTCCTCTAGTGGTAGAAAACTTGAGGTACGAGGCAGAGAAAAGGGAACAAGAACAGGTTAGGTGCCTTCTGCAGCCACTTCACATTTCCCGGAGTAGGACAGATGACAAAGAGCTCAGATCAAAACAACAAAGGTCCAAGGCTTAGTTTATCAAGCTCCCCATATACAAGAAAAAATATCAAAAACTGGAGAGGACTGTTTTCAAAGCAACATCAAGGCCTGATAACCAGGGTCACATATATTCGTCCCTGTTCCTTACTCTCTGCACCTCACCCGTTGCCCAAATCAGTCCGCTTTGTCCCCAGTCTTTCCCTTCCCGACCTTCTCCTTTCCAATTTCAGCATGGATGCGGTAGTCTGAGACCACCAAGGCAGCTGCCAAACGGATGCCCTGCTGCTCCCCTTCCAACCCACTGTGCGCACAGCTGTCAAGGCAATCCTCCCAAGCAGACCTCACTCTTGCCCAAAACTTCCTCAGCCCCTCAACTCTGAACTGAGAACAAAATTAGAGACTGCTTGGTCTGGCACATTCCAAGCCCAATAGTCCTGCATATGGCTGATGCTCACACAAGGTCAAGTTCATAAAACAGAAACAAATTGAATACGCTTTACGGTTTCTACACAAGGTTAGCATTTACTCCCTCACTACTTCCAAAAGGAATTTGAGATGACTTAAAATAAAATGCAGATTCTAAAAACACAAGAATTAGACAAGAAGGAAAAGGAAAGTGAATTAGAAGCCCTAAATAGGCCAAGTGCAGTGGCTCACGTCTGTAATCTCAGCACTTTGGGAGGATAATGCGGACGGGTGACTTGAGGTCAGGAGTTCTAGATCAACCTGGGTGACATAGCAAGACCACTTCTCTACAAAAAAGAATTTTTTTTTTTAATTAGCCCAGTGTGGTGGTGAGTGCCTGTAGTCCTAGTCAGGAGAATGAGGTAGGGGTTGATCCCAGGAGGTGGAGGCTGCAGCGAGCTGTGATGGTATCACTGCATTCTAACCTGGGTGACGATGAGATCCCCCATCTCTATTAAAAAAAAAAAAAAAAAAGTCCTAAGTAAAGGAAAGCTTCCAACATATAGTTTAAAAAAAAAAAAGCTTAGGAATTTCCTGGAAGATGAAAAGAATATGGAAACAATATGATGTTATGGCTCTCACTAAATAAAAGCATTTAGGGTGGTGCAGTGGCTCATGCCTGTAATCCCAACACTTTGAGACTTTGGGAGGTCAAGGCAGAAGGATTGCTTGAGCCCAGGAGTTCAAGACTGGGCAACATAGGGAGACCTCATCTTTAAAAAATAAAAATAAAAATACATTAGCTAAGCACAGTAATGCACACCTATAGTCCCAGCTACTCAGGAGGTTGAGATGGAAGGACTGTTTGAGCCCAGAAGGTCAAGGCTGCAGTAAGCCATAGCACTTCAGCCTGGGCAACAGACTGAGACCCCATCCCAAAAAAAGAAAGAAAGCATTTAGGAAAAAAACACCCTAACTCAACTTTGAGAGAAACTTCTCCCATGGAACTGAGCATTAGAGAATAAACAGCACGCTCAGTACCCTCAGTGACACCTTTTAGTTTTAAAATTGTAGTAACAGTCTTCAAACATTCCCTCTCTGCTCAACTTCCCAGTTAAAAACTAAGGGCCTAATGCTAAATCTTACTTTAGAAAGACAGCTCTGAGACAGAAGTACCGAGTCTCCAGGTGCACTGCTTTCTAGTAACCTAACAGGACTCAAGAGTGGCAGCATAATGAGGATTTAACAATTGGCCCTCTGGCTAATCTGCAGGCTGTGAATTATCTCCATTGATTGTCCACAGTCAGTTACAGACAGAACTTCTTGTTCTTCTCTTTCCCTCTTCTATTACACTAGACTAGTCTTTAAAAAAAATTATAATAATAATGGCCCGGCGTGGTGGCTCATGTCTAATTCCAGCACTTTTGGAGGCCGAGGCAGGCAGATCACCTGAGGTCAGGAGTTCAAGACCAGCCTGACCAACATGATGAAACCCCGTCTCTACTAAAAATACAAAAATTAGCCAGGCGCAGTGACATGCGCCTGTAATTCCAGCTACTTGGGAGGCTGAGGCAGGAGAATCGCTTGAACCCGCGAGATGGAGGTTGCGGTGAGTGGAGATCACACTCCAGCCTGGGCGACAGAGTGGGACTCCGTCTCAAAAAAAAAAAAAAGCCCTCTGGAATATAAACTATCTCATCTAAAATCAGTAAGACAATTCAAAATTGAGACCCTGACAGTCCCCGAGAAACAGCTGTCCATGAGGCTTAAGGACTGAAAGGACAGTGTTTCTAGACAAACGCAAAACACCTGAGTGCTGCGCCTGTGCCCACTCCTCACACCATGCAATGCTTCGCCAGGCAGGCAGTGTTCCCTATGCAATTTTAACCTGTTTTACAGTAATCACTTCAATTAATTAAGGCTACTTTCAATTCTGTCTTCCTGGTCATTAGAAGCATTTCTCAGTTTAACGTCAAGAAACATTTTCAGTTTAATGTTATCTACAAACCTTATCAGCACCAACGTCATTACTAATAATGGCACTGAAGGCTTTCAGCTGTGACCAAGTCATAACATTTAGCTTAGGAAGAAAAGGACAGAAATAGGGTAGGCTTACAGTGTTTCTCAAGTGTAATGTGCAAATAAGCTCCTGCAGATCTTGTTAGACTACAGGACCTGGTTCTGTAGGCCTGGGAGGGGCTGAGATTTTGCAGTTCTAACAAGCCCCAAGTATTGGCAATGACGCTGGTCATGGACCACAATTTGAGTAGCAAGGGACTAGAGGGTGCCTATTACTCTTTAATTCTGCTGTATCTGGTTCTGTGTGAGCACAGCAAAAGGAAAACTAACAGCCTAGAATATTGATGAATCAAATCCTGCCAATTCCCAATTTGTGTGAAAGGGTTCCTTCATTTATATGACAACAGTGTGAAACTAAGAATGCATTTTGTCATAGAAAGAATAAGAGATTACCTGAGGTGGAATTAACTAATCTGCCTGGAAGGAAACACAAAAAAACAATGGCGGGTGGGGGAAGAGATGAGAGAAAAAAAGCAGGCAGCGGTATGGAGGAGGCTGTGGAGAGCCAGTGCCCTGCTCGGGCCCCAGTCTGGCACCTGCCGCCATGTGTGGGCATTTAGGGAGCCCTTAGGGTAGACCGCAGAGAGAGCGACCAAGCTGCTATGTTTGCAAGGGCGATGTTTATAACTGAGGAGTGCCTATCATCCTCACACAGTGAGCAGTAAATGAGGAGAGAAGATGCCTACCAAGACAAAGGATCAAAGCAGAGGCTTAGAATTGGTATGTAAGAGAAAACCTCTCCACACCACAGGGTTCCTAGGATTAAACAGGATAGACTAGGATATTTTCCTTAATGCAATGGAAATGAGCACTGTCCTTATAATCTAAGACATAGAGCCTCATCCACACTCTGCCTCTCATGTTCTGCAACTTTGGGAGGACACCTAAAGACTGCCTTCACTTTCTTCATCTGTAAAAGGAAGATAATTAGGACCCGCTTCACACAGTTACTGTGAGGATTAAAACAGATAATACATATAGTACTGACATATAGGAAGCTTTTAATAAATAGGAGCTATTGTATTTTTCTCCACTGCTTTCTCACAAAGCAGTGACAAAGGCTATCTCTGTAGTTCCATTCCTACTATAATAACCCCTAAGTCAGTGATACTTTTTCAGTCCCCTCTCAGAGTTTGCTGCTATTTTTCTGACTCTGAAGCAAATTAGTATATACAGCAAAACCTTAAATATGCAGGCAAAATCTAACCATCATAAAAATAAAAGTTATTTTGGGCATCTATACAGAGTACATCCATCTGTATCATAGCCAGGTCCTGCAATAAAGCCAAGTATATACTCAACTGTTGGTAAATATCTGAAAGATGGAGGCAGTCTCATTAAGGAAACAGCTGGATATACCAGGAAACAACATGGATATGTGACATACTGATAAGGAGGGCAAAAACTAGCTTAACTATCATTGTGAATATATAAGTGCATGTGTGAATGTATACATACATATATATGTATGTGTATGTATACGTATATATGTGTATGTATGTATTGTGTGTGGGGGTGTGTATATATATAATTTTTTTTTTTTTTGAGACAGAATCTTGCTCTGTCGCCCAGGCTGGAGTGCAGTGGTGTGATCTCAGCTCACTGCAACCTCTGCCTCCCGGGTTCAAGCAATTCTCCTGCCTCAGCCTCCCAAGTAGCTGGGACTACAGGCACGTGCCACCACACCCAGCTAATTTTTGTATTTTTAGTAGAGACAGGGTTTCACCATGTTGGCCAGGATGGTCTTGGGCTCCTGACCTCGTGATCCACCCGCCTCGGCCTCCCAAAGTGCTGGGATGGAGGCCGAGGCGGGTGGGTGGATCACAAGGTCAGGAGCCACAGCATAAGCCACTAGGCCCAGCCACATATATAATCTTTAAGTTTGCTTCAAAATTCAGGCAGAAAGACTTGCCAAAGAGTTTAGAGTTCAGACTTCCTCCAGGATTTTTTTATATCCTTTAACATAGCACATTTATCTCCCTATATTCAAATGTCTTACCCACTTTAATTAGAAAAAGACTGACTACAAAGAAAACATAGAATCAATAACTGAACATCTAATTTTAAACTCTCATTGGACTCATCACCTCTTCCCTTCCAAGTCTCATGAGGGCCTGCTTTAGCAAAACTGACTCCATGTTTCTACATCCTGTGGTTTCTCATGCCCACTCTGAGAAGTGAAAAAAAACAGTTGAAAGGCAAGACATCAGAGAGGGAATGTTATAGGCCAACCTCCAGATAAGTGAGCTCTAAAACGCATTTATTTGGAAGTTTAAGGCATCCAATTTTTTTAAATACACCATTTCTGGTTTCTCCCAAATAACTGTATATATACAGCCTTCCCTGGGTAAAGATCTTTAAAATGCTGGCACTATTAATGTATACAAGGTCTCTGTCCTTGACTATTTGCCTGACTGCTAACTAGTTAGCGGTGGCCCTGGCCCTGCCCCTCATCCTCATGCTGCCCAGAGTCCCTCCAAATAGGTTGTAGGCTCAGTGCTCTCATCCCCCCATCTTTCTGCCCACTATGTATCTGCAGCCTTATAGGACCAAATCTATACTGGCACAAAAATATAAAATGATAAGGATAGCAACTTGAGCAGGGAAGGTGCATCAGGGAAACAGCCAGGCCTATGGGCAAGGCTGGCAGAAGAGCCAGCAATTCCTTTCTATCTGAAGAAGAAACCCGTTCTTCCAGGGCAGGCTGCAGGCGCTGTCAAGAACAGAGTGAAAGGAGGAAGAGACCCTTCTCTCCCTCTAGGCAAAACTTCAGGTCACCCATCTTGCAAAATCTAAGCTTGGTTTTTTTTTCTTAATCATTCCCACACTCGTGAAGATAACTGTGTTTACTATGTGGGGAAAATTTTTTATTTTCAAAATAAAATTATGGGAGGTAAGCTCAGCTCATCCACAGTTTTTGCAGAGTTCTTACTGGCCAATTTGGGAGAAGAGTTTCTCTGAGTTCATCACATGCTGCCATCCACTAGAGGACAGAAGCATGACTAAATGTAAACCTTGATAAAAGCTTTTTACAACTCAGAAAGGGAAACAAGGGTTTCTTCTCTCCACTCGTTCCCCTCCTCTGGTTTTTTTTTTTTTTTTTTTTTTTTTTAACTGAGTCATGCAAAGGAAATTTTAGGCACTGGCAGAACAGAGGTGGGGCATTATAGAGATCTGCCAGCTGTTTCCTTAAATAATGCAAATCTCCTTACAACGTGGCAAGACTTCAAACTGTTTTCACTAATTTCTCAGGGAAAAAAAAAAAGACAAAAGTAATCTGAAAGTGGGGGGGATGGAAAATTCCAAAAGCTACCCCATTAGTAATACTGAGTGACTGAAGGAATAAAACAATATAAACTCTAAAAAGAAAGTTTCCCCACCAGAATATTAATCTCCCAACCAAGTAAGTGACCTCAATTAAAGAGACACATTTGAGTTTAAAAAAACAAAAACAACAAAAAATGAGTTAGGAATTAAATGAAAATTCCAGCGTTATCATGGGTGTGGCCCTCAAGAAATTTACTTTCTTACATCCATGGAGTTTTGCCTTTTTACAAGCTTATGTTTTGCAATCATCCTGGCTATTTTCCCAGAAGAAAAAAAAAATTGGTGGAACAAGGGGAAGGATGTCTAAAATTTGGAAATCATCCTTGGTATCTTAACCAGGGAAAAGCTCTCAGGTCTCTTGTCTTGGGGAATATACTCCTGTACTAAAGCAGTCAAACAAAATTTCAACAAGTTTATGACAAATAGGAAGTCCAGCCTTTGGTGAGGTCGCTGTCAGGAGTTCTATAAACCTTGGGTGCTCTAAAGTTTATCTGAGCACACCCAGATGGGAGGGGGTGAGAGGAAATATAGACAGGATAGGACAAAAAGGTTTTTAATCCTTCACCTTGACAAGATGTCTTATTTTGAAAGTGTTTAATTTAGAATGTATATAATCACCAATAACTAGATTTGAAGTTCCATGAGCACAGGACAATATTTTACCCTTTTGTTGTAATCGTTGCCTCCCACAAGACCTAGCAAATGCTATATGTGATGGATGTCAAACTACTTTTATTGACTAAGAGAAAAATAATGTCCCAGCAGTTTGACAGGCGGCTAATGCCTCCTGAGACAAAATCAGTGGCTAGTAATCGAGAGTGGGATGGGAGAATTGTGTCTTCAAAATCACCTTGGAGATCACTTTCAAACTACTTATCCCCTGGCCCTCTAAGATCATGACACACCCACAAGGGTATGCCCACTTTTCCCTTCTAAACTAAGTGTGCCATTGTTTCTGATGGGTGTGTATCATATCTATTAGGTGTGTACCTTTGCAGGTTGGGGGGATGGATGGCTAATGATTTACAGCTTTTCACAATAGAACCTTCAGGGTGAGAGGAGGGGCAAGCACCTGGATCTGATGGGTGGGGGTGGGAACTGGGGCTTAACAGCTTTTACAGATCTCCATCTAATGCTCTTTTTTTCCCCCGCTCTATATATCCTACAGCCTTATGCAAGACCTAGAGCTTCCAAATCCTGAACTTTTCTGGAGTTTTATGGAGCTAACTGGCTCACTTACTGATATCCTCTTTGAGATCCTTAGAGTCCAGCTTCCTCTGCTTAGCCAGTCAGTGACTAAGCCAGTCAGCTTAGTCAGTGACTCCTTCCAAAGACATCTTGATGGCAATTAACTGCTGTGATCTCCTCTCCTATTCTCCTACCTTTGAGGTGCCTGTGTCTTTTTTATTTCATTATTTATTTTATTTCATTTTAGAGACATTTTGGAAAAACTAAAGGTACTTATGCGTTCAACCCGTCATGGTTTTTTTTGTGTTTTGTTTTGTTTTGAGACAAGAGTCTTGCTCTGCCACCCAGGCTGGAGTGCAGTGGCACGATCTTGGCTCACTGCAACCTCCGCCTCCTGGGTTCAAGCAATTCTCTGGCCTCAGCCTCCCGAGTGGCTGGTATTACAGGCGCCCACCACCACACCCGGCCAGTTTTTTGTATTTTTAGTAGAGATGGAATTTCACCATGTTGGCCAGGCTGGTCTCAACCTCCTGACCTCAGGTGATCCACCCACCTTGGCCACCGCACCCGGCCTCAACCCACCATGTTTTATAGAAGTCATTTTAATTGCTTGTACATCTTCTCTGCCAGATCACAAAAAAAACAAAATCACACAAATCTTACATATGCTCCCAGAATTTAGTGCAATCTAGGCCTATGGTAAATATTTTAATATTTGTTGAATAAATGAATCATTTTAAAAGTGTAGAAATCACAGAACTTTAAGCTTTCAAAGGATCTTCAGCTTTCTAGGTTCTTCTCTCTCCTGTATCTCTCCAATCTTCTAGTGGAACCATATTTAAAGCTCCAGATTAATAAATAATCTCCTTTTAAAAAATCCCTAGAGCAGTGGCTTTCATATTTTTCTGATTGCAACCCGGAATATAGAATACTTCTTACGTCACAATTTGCTAGATGCGCTCATATAGCTACTGAAAATAAATTTCATGCAACAATACTTACCCTTACCACATGGAATGTCCTCTAACATCTACTATTCTATTTTAGTTCACCTCCTAAAAAATGCTGGCCATGATTCACTAAACTGAATTCACAACCTACTAATGGGTGATCAGCTGCAGTTTGAAAAACTTTTCTATTCAACCTATCTCTCAAGCCGCAGCTTGGATATGGTGGCCTCAGGGGCAGCCTTCCCTGACTCCCTAATTAAGTCTACATGTCCCTCCTTTATGTTCTCATGGTATATGATCCTTCTACACTTTTTTGTGGTAGGCCTGGATCTGTAGGATAGGCAAGACATCTAGGGGATCAGAGACTTGAGCACATATGCCCACACAAAAACTTGTATGCACGCTCATAAGAGCATTACTCACATAGTGAGAAGGTGGAAACAACCCACAATCTATTAGTGAAGGAATAGATTAAAAAAAGATGTGGCCCGGCGGGGTGGCTCACTCCTGTAATCCCAGCACTTTGGGAGGCAGAGGCGGGTGGATCATGAGGTCAGGAGTTTAAGACCAGCCTGGCCAAGGAGGTGAAGCCCCACCTCTACTAAAAATACAAAAATTAGCCGGGTGCGGTGGCGTGCACCTGTAATCCCAACTACTCGAGAAGCTGAGACAGGAGAATCCCTTGAACCCAGGAGACGGAGCTTGCAGTGAGCCGAGATCGTGCCATTGCATTCTAGCCTGGGCAACAGAGCAAGATTCTGTCTCCAAAAAAAAAAAAAAAAAAAAGATGTGGTATATTCATACAGTGGAATATCATTCAACCATAATAAAAGAAGAATGAAGTTCTAACCCATGCTACAACATGGAAGAACTTTGAAAATATTATGCTAAATGACATAAGCCAGACATGAAGGCCACATATTATATAATTCCATTTATATAAAATATCTAGACTAGGCCGGTCCATAGAGACAGAAAGTAGACTAGCTGTTGCCAAGGGCTGAGAAGGATAGGTGGACTGGGGATAAGTGTTAAAGGGAAGAGGTTTCTTTTTGGGGTTAAAAAAAAAAAAAGGCTCAAAATTGATTCTGGTAATAGATGCACAACTCTGTGAATATACTAATAGCCACTGAATTGTACACTTTAAACAGGTGAAATGTATGGTATGTGAATTACTTTTTTTTTTTTTTTTTTTTTTGAGAGGGACTCTTGCTCTGTTACCCAAGCTGGAGTGCAGTGGCATGATCTGAGCTCATTGCAACCTCCACCTCCCAACTTCAAGTAATTTTCAAGTGCTGGGATTACAGATGTGAGCCACCACACCCAGCCTGAATTACATCTTTAATAAAGTTGTTTTAAGAGAGAGGCTAGGTGTGATGGCTCATGCCTGTAATCTCAGCACTTTAAGAGGCCTAGGCGGGAGGATCACTTGAGCCCAGGAGTTCATGACCAGCCTGGGCAACATAGTGAGACCCTGTCTCCATTTTCAAAATAAAAATTAAAACAGAGAAAAATCTAAGGGAGACCTGGAAATTGGACTAAGTTGCAGGAGGCAGGTGCAGAATTTATTTTACTTATCCCTGGCTTCTAGCACAAGGCTCATAGGCATGGCAAAGGCTCCATAAGTATTTGTTGAATTAATAGTTGATTCTATGACAATGAGTGGATGGGCTTTCTCAGTCATGTAAAGCTTCCACCTTGGGGTACTCCCATGTTAACCATTCAAAGAAGGAAAAATGAGCTTCCTTTTTTATTAAGTGAACTTCCACCTTCACTTAAAAGATATCCAATACTCCTGATGATTATAAACTGAAGGATTTTTTAAAGTAAGAAAAATATTATGTTTCCCTGTTTCACTGTTAAAAAAAAAAATGGCCGGAACAGTGGCTCACGCCTGTAATCCCAGCACTTTGGGAGGCCAAGGCAGGTGGATCACAAGGTCAGGAGTTCGAGACCAGCCTGGCCAACAAGGTGAAACCCCATCTCTATGAAAAATACAAAAAATTAACCAGGTGTGGTGGCACGCGCCTGTAGTCCCTGCTACTCGGGAGGCTGAGGCAGGAGAATCACTTGAATCTGGGAGTCAGAGGTTGCAGTAAGCCGAGATCGTGCCACTGCACTCCAGTCTGGGTGACAAAGGGAGACTCCATCTCAAAAAAAAAAAAAAAAAAAAAATGGTTGTACAATAGTCCTTCTCACGGAACCTCACATGAAATTCTATTAATAAGAGCTTTCTCAGGCACAGTGACAAAGGGGTGTTGTTGGAAACTGTGTTGCTCAAAGTTTTATCATACTCCACAGCTGACTACAAACTGATATTTTAAGCTTAATTCCTGCACAGAAAGTTTCAGCTCAGCTATAGACAACAGCAAGCCACCAAAAGAGACAAGAAATAAGGGCTAAGAGAAACTAAAAACACAAAAGCAATGCACTGTTATGTTTGTTAATAAAAGTAGAACTTTATATCCATGTGAAATATGTAGCCTAATCTGCACACAGCCATTTTTTAGCCTAAGCATAACTGGATGGCTACCTTGTTTAAAGTCTTATCAGTGCCATTTGAATGCCAACATCCACAGCCACCTGCCGTAACAACACTTGCTTGCTATAAATAAGTAGATAACATTCTCTCCCAAGAGGTAAAAATTCTGGTTATCTATTAAAAGCAAAACCAATAACCAAAATAACCCATCTTTTAGCTATCCCTCATTTATCAAAAAAGAGGCTTACACTTCAGATTTAGATGCCTGCAGAGTGGTCCCCCAAAAAAGCAGTATCTAAACAAAATAAAGACTAACACGGCACAGAACTACTCTAACAATAGCGATTCTCTTCCCACAATATTTCAGATCCCAGTGGAAGCCTTTCCCCAATGTCTAAATACATCTCTGTTTACTTCCTACATCTAACATTTATTTTTAACAGTGGGAATACTTTTCATTCCATAACCAAGAGAAATTAACAAATAATGTCAGATCTTAACTTTAGCAAAACAAAACCTGGAAATAATTCCAATGTGCTTCTTGTAAATGGATCTCTTTTTTAAAAATAATACTTTAGAATATGTTGCACATCTAATCAATTTATCAACAAACATTTATTGAGTACAAGGTACAAAAAAGGTGGACAAAGATGGAGAACTGCAGATCAGGTCAAGGAATTTCTAATAGAGTAGGAAACACACACAGGTATCCAAACAACAGACATTCAGGAAACACGAATAATAAGTTCCATGACATAATGTAAGTATATAAAGTGCTAACAAATACAGTCTGTTCACTTTTCTAATTTAAAGTTCCAAAAGGCTGATAAATATTTGTAAACACTCTTACAAGCACAGGTATTACTGCCCAGTTTCAAAAGGACCAGGGCGACCGGGCGCGGTGGCTCACAGCTGTAATCCCAGCACTTTGGGAGACCAAGGCAGGCGGATCACCTGAGGTCAGGAGTTCGAGACCAGCCTGGCCAACATGGTGAAAACCTGTCTCTACTAAAAATACAAAAAAATTAGCCAGGCGTGGTGGCAGGCGCCTGTAAGCCAAGCTACTCCAGAGGCTGAGGCAGGAGAATCACTTGAACTGGGGAGGCAGAGGTTGCAGTGAGCCGAGATCGTGCCAGTGCATTCCAGCCCAGGCGACAAGAATGAGACTCGTCAAAAAAAAAAAAAAAAAAAGCCAAGGCACTGCAGGAAACAGGTGGTTAAACACAGAACTGCCATATGATCCAGTAATTCCACTCCTAGGTATATACTCAAAAGAACTGAAAGAAGGAACTCAGATACAGCAATGTTCAGCCATACAGTAATGTTCACAATAGTATTCACAGTAGCCAAAAAATAAAAACAATTCAAAGGTCCATTGAAGTATGAATGACTTTTTTAAAAATTGGTATATGCATACAACAGAATATTATTCAGCATTAAAAAGGAATGAACTTCTAGCACATGCTACAACATAGAGGAAACTTGAAAACATATGCTAAGTCAGCAGTCCCCAACCTTGTTGGCACCAAGGACTGGTTTCCTGGAAGACAACTTTTCAATAAAAGTGGGGGGGAGGAGAGATGGTTTCAGGATGAAAAAGTTCCACCTCAGATCATCGAGCATCAACTAGATTCTCATATGGAGCACACAGCCTACATCTCTTGAATGCACAGTTCACAACAGGGTTCTCGTAACTATGAGAATCTAATGCCACCGCTGATCTGACAGGAGGTAGAACTCAGGCGGTAATGCTCACTTACCTGCCGCTCACCTCCTGCTGTGTGACCCAGGTTCCTAAAAGGTCATGGAACAGTACCTATCCGCAGCCCTGGGGTTGGGGACCCTTCTGCTAAATGACACAAGCCAGACACAAAAGGCCACGTATTATATAATTGATTTATATAAAACATGCCAAATAGGGATATTTTCTGTTTCTATGGAAACAGAAAGTAGATTAGTGATTGTCAGGGGCGATGGGGAGGTGGAATGAGGACTCAGTGTTTGATACAGTTTCTGTTTGGGATGAAAAAGTTCTGGAAATGGATACGTTGCATAACATTGAGAATATACTTCATGCCGCTGAACATATATTTATTAATAGTGGTTAAAATGGTAAATTTTATGTTATGTATACTTAATGGCAATTATTTTAAAATGAAAAAAAGGATATTTTTAATGTCTGAGGCATATATTGGCTTGATGAACATGTCTTCAGTGGTAGAGACAGGCACAGGCCTCACTTTCCCCACCAGGCAGCCCTTAGGCTGGTAACCTATATATCAGCTACATATTTATAAAGGATGTCAGTTCTCTCCCAGTCCCCATAAGAGAAATGTTGTATTGCTTCATTTTGTGCACCATTAGCTAGCAGGGACCACTTACAAAAAACTTCAGAAGAAGAAATTATCAATAGTTTCCGTGTGATGAAACTCACTAAAATTTAAGGGTCTAAAAGCCATGGATGAGACAACAATTCTTAGAGCCGCAGACCATATTAGAGAAGGAAGAGTGTGAATTAACTGCCTCCTCAACTTGCTATTTGTTTTATCTGCTCAGCAATATCCATGTCAGTGCAATGACAGTATTTACAGGAAAACTTTACAATTCACCTGAAAGACAAACTAAAAAACCCGTGGATTGTCTTACCTTTTGAAACCCAAAGAAAGGAGGACTCTGAAAGGAGAAAACTCTTCATGTATTATTAACTGAAATAGCCATGCCCTTTTCTCCTAAAATTCTAAAAGCTCTACTTCCCACTTACTCTCACAATATTCCTGGAAAAAGGCTTTTTCAGCCCCACACTATTAACTAAAATTGCAGACCTAAGAACCTTTTAAAGTATTAGCACTAACCCTCAGGACTCCTGATTCTCAAGTTCCTAAAATTAGAATGGCTCTTTAAATGCCCGTGTATCTGCCCCCAAAGAGACAAGCAAACAAAGTCCAATGTCTTCTGCCACCAGGACAGCAGGAAGATAATTCTTCTCACAGTTATATTCAGAAATGCCAAAATCAAACCTTGCTAAACATGTTCAGAAAAGCTTCACATATCTCTACTGGAACTAAAAAGTAACAAACCCAGCCAGCAGCCAAAGGGACAGACCTCCTAATTGGATTTTAACCTCATCAAAATGATATCATGTACTCAATCCTAGGACATAGAACCAATCCAAACAGTCACTGAGGGACTCAACTATCCTTACCAAATGCTCTGCCTCATAATAGAAGTTTTAAGTTCTTGACAGTAAAACTGTGACATTCAATAAGCTCTAGCTAATACATCATTTGATATATGAGCAGGGAACATTGTAAATTTCAGAATCTTAGACCAAAGGAAGTATTTTCCTACTTGAATGTTCTATAGCAGGTGTCCCCAACCCCTGGGCTGTGGACCAGTACCAGTCTGTGGCCTGTTAGGAACCAGACCGCACAGCAGGAGGTGAGCGGCAGGTGACCAAACATTACCACCTGAGTTCTGCCTCCTGTCAGATCAGCCAAGGCATTTGATTCTCATAGGAGCGTGAACCCTACTGTGAACTGCACATGCGAGGGAAGCAGGCTGCACACTCCTTATGAGAATCTAATGCCTGATGATCTGAGGTGGAACAGTTTATCCCAAAACCATCCCCCTACCCACTCGGTCTGTGGAAAAATTGTCTTCCACAAAACTACTCCCTGGTACCAAAAAGGTTGGGGACGGCTGTTCTATAGGACATCCTAGTTAAGAGGGCAAGCAATCTATACTTGAACTTACCCAGCTGCAAGGAATTCAATTCCCCATCCTCTATCCCCACCCTCACAATAAGCACATTCTATGAGTGGACAGCTCTGTTAGGAAGATTATTCTGCGTTTCAAGCCAATCCTCAGCACCTGTAATTTTTATCAATTGTCCCAGTTCAGAACCATAGGTAATAAATCTACGTCTTCTTTTCTGTGATGTCCCCTCCCATGTGTGAGCACAGCTCAGCACCTGTGGGGGCAGCAGGCTCATAATATAAACTGCACACAATCAACAAGTGTAAATGATTTAAGGAAACTTTCCCAACCCCATTTCACAAGACTTTTAAAGCAGAGTGATCTGAAATTACCTTAAACATTTATAATGAGGAGACTAATCTTATCTGATTTGTTCTTCTCAAGTCAAACCCAATGATGAAGTTCCCTGGACAAAGGACTTCTCTGACTTTATTCCAGTCCATTCCCAAGTCACCAGCTTCTTCCTTTAAAACTTACGTGTCCTTTACAAACAGATAGTGCTGAATGATTGTTAAATGGAATGTTTTAGTAATCTTCCTAAAAGTAGGTTGGGTGATTATGTGTTGTTCACCCGTTATTTAACATATATTTCTCCAGTTGGCTAATTTGTACAGCGTTAAAGCAGATATGGCAAATTCTAAAACAGAGTCCCTTTGTGTAAAAGATAACACACTAAAATAACTTGTCAGCTTTTCTCCAAGTTCCCTGGAACACCAGTGTCCTGTGAGATGATAATTGGCGCTTCAAGAAATGTACATGTTAAGTATATGAATACCAAAGGTTCTAAGAACAGAGAAATGGAGAAACTTGTTTAAGTTTGGAAAATGAAGGGTCAAAGTCCTTGAGCACAGAGCACTTCTCACCCAGCACACCTATTCATATCTTGGGAACAGAGTCTGTTACTTCCCCAATTGAGGAAATAGGCTTAGAGCCACACAAGGCTTCTGATCTGTATGCTAAAAAGGGTTGCTCATGGAACCAATAGGAAATGAGATGCTTTTCTTAGTTTTTTACCCAACTGTAGAGGAAATGTTAGGTGACAGTTTTACTTTTAAAAAATAATAAAATAAAATCACGCATTATAATTTTATCACATGGAAGAAATGGAGTGTCATCACTGAAAGCCTAAGAAAACGAATCTTTTCATTCAATCAGCATAAACAACTCTCACAATGGAAAAAAAAAAAAAGGAGATGCCTATAACCAGCCAAAAGTTGAAAGTACATGCAATTTCTCTCTCATCTAAATGATGAGACCAAGCCTTCGCAAACAGAAAATAAATCACTCTCTCTAAAATGACGTGCAGAAAAGGAAACAAGAGAGGCAGCTCATTTGCACTGTAATTCACATTCCTGAGACAGTGGTACAAACACTACTCAGTACCACACAGGGAGACACGACACTCTTTCTCCTCAAGCATCTGTAATCTCCTGGGTTAGTCATTGAGTGTAGTGGGAAGCAGAACTCAGATGAACTAGTCAGAGAGCACTTAATGGCTCTCCAGACTGCACTAATCATCCTGACCAAAGTAGAGTTCAGTTCAAGTGCTGAGATGGGCGGCTGTTTGCAGTTGGCCATTCTCCCTCCCTCCCAGCATCGCTGTTATTGATCCCTGCATCGTGAACAAAGCTAAATTAAAGATGGGCTATGTCAGATAAGGCTGCTGAGTAAAGAGACTGGCTGGGCCCCTGAGGAAAGCAGCTCGGGCTTAAAATTTGTACTCAAGGCTGAGTGACTTACTGGGCAAATATTCTGTGTATATCACAAAGAGATTGCTTTTAGGGGTAGAGGTACTTAACATAAAAGTACAATAGGTAAACAGTCCTGGACTCTCGAGTAGTTTACAATCTCCTCAAGGATACTAGGTTGGAGAATAAGAGAATCCTGATTATGCTCTTGGTCAGGCCCCAAATCTTTTAAGCTGGCCTTGAAACCAAGCACTGGACCACATTCCCAGAATATATTACCCTAATGGAACTCAGCCAACCATCTGAGCAACAATGTAAAGTATTCTGTATCTTCACTCATTCCCCTCTGGATTGATTTGTGTCAGAGAATCCAGTGGATTTGCTGCATGGAGGTACTTGTATACTTTCCTTGGTTCTAATAGGAAAGACAGGAGGAAGAGGTGACTAGCAGGATAAGGGAGGCACTGACCAACTGGATAGGGTCAGTGCCGATCATTCAAAACAGAAAAACTTCTTTAGACTTACTGAATTTTCAGAAAATGATTTACAATGCTGATTTCAACACTCTATTCCATGTATTTTTAATGATTTTTTTAAGGCTTTTCAAACTCTTAGCATCTCCCTCAAAAGAAATAGTACCCAGAGGCTCTAACAGGAAATGTTAAGGAAAATGTTATTGGAGGCAAAGCAACACATCTCTGGAATAAATATGGTGAGCTGGCTTATTTGGTCTGATCTAAGGAAATGAATGAAGTAAGGCCTGAAGTTTTCTGAAGTACGCCCTATGCAGCTTTATTTTGGGAAAGTCAACCCATCAACAAGCTGAAAGTAACAGCTTCTATCTCCCATTCTCTCCTGTAATACAGACTTCAACTGCCCGTGAGAATCTCACATACAGAAAGTTTTTAAATAAAGAGGCAGAGGCTACCCAGGTGTTTCTGAGGCACAGCCAGGCTGAGAGTCACTGCTTCAACGAAGCAGCATGCCATGAAACCCACCTGCAACCCATCTGAAACCACTTGGTCTTCTAATATAGTTATATATTCAATGGGTTCATCCAGGCAACAAGGAATAGACATATTATGAAATTGCCTCAGTTAATGATGATTTAACATGAGGCTCCCTAGAGAAGCAAGCAAAATAGGGAAGTACAAAACAGGAACCCCTATGAGCAGCTGCCCAGTTGGGCCTTCTAGAAAACTAAAACATACTGTGCACATATTAGTTTAAGTACATTGACTCAACTTCGATTCTAAAAGTCACCCTTTCCAAAGCAGCCATCCTGTGCTCTGTCACCCAATTCCACCTCCTATTGTTCTTGTTACCACTGGCTCATTAAGAGCCTCTTCATCTCCTCATGGTTTCTGCTTAACTAAGGGCTTTTATTCCTCATGCCTTTTGCTGTCTTCCCATTTCTTTGTCTCTGTCTCAAACTCCCAAGAGGATCAATCTCTTCCCAATACATGCTGCTGGTTAGCCTATCGATGCGTACCTTGGGAGTCAGGCATAAGCATACCTAGTTCAAGCAGCTATGGCCACCAAACTGTGAAGTTGCATGCACCAAGCTTGGGGATACTAACAAAAGGAAATCCTGTAAAGAAAGCTGTGGACATGGCAGGCTCTTGCAGGGAAGCCAATATGACCAGCACACACTTAGCATGATCTGTCTGGTAAAAGTCATTTTCCTAAGCAGATTTCAAAGTTCTGTATATAGCAGGTTATACTTATTTCTCAATAAGGTTTATTCTATGGGTCTCTAACTGGAGCTAACTTAATTATCTAAGTAACTTAGTAATATACTTAGTTACCTAGTTACCTAAGTAACTAACCAAGTGTTTCTCAAACTTCAGTGTGCATCAAAATGACCTGAAGGGCTTGTTAAAACAGATCGCAGGGCTCCACTGCCAGAGTTTCTGATTTAGTAGGTCTAGATAGGTCTCCTATGCTTTGATTTTGCTTTTTTGTTTTGTTTGGTTTTGAGGAAAAGTTTCACTCTGTCACCCAGGCTGGAGTGCAGTAGCACGATCTCAGCCCACTGCAACCTCTACCTCCCGAGTTCAAGTGACTCTCATGCCTTAGCCTCCCAAATAGCTGGGATTACAAGTGTGTGCCTCCATATTTTAGCAGAGACAGGAGTTTGCCATGTTGGCCAGGCTGGTCTCGAACTCCTGGCCTCAAGTGATCCTCCCTCCTTGGCCTTCCAAACTGCTGGGATTACAGGCATGAGCCACCACGCTTGGCCTGCTTTTGCATTTTTGATAAGTTATCAGGTGATGTTAATGTTGCTGTTTCTCAGGACCAAATATTGAGAACCACTGGTCTGATCTTTTAGGTATCTTAAAACAAGACAAATTGCTATGTGGTGGGATTTGTTATTTTTGTTACATACAGATTTGGTTATCTAAATATTTCAAAAATAAGCATTTTAAATGCATATAGACTTTTAGATAAATCAACAATGGCTATATCATAAAACTGTAAATTTCGAGACTTAGACATAACTCTAGAAGCTAAATATGATAAAATACACACCTGCTCTCTGACATTTGAAACCCACTGATCTAAACCAATGATTCTCAGTGGGGGGGCCAATTCTACAATCCAAAGGACATGTGACAATGTTTGGAAACTTTTTTTTTTTTTTTTTTGAGGTGGAGTCTCACTCTGTCGCCCCAGGCTGGAGTGCAGTGGCACAATCTCAGCTCACTGCAACCTCTACCTCCCAGTTTCAAGCAATTCTCATGCCTCAGCCTCCCAAGTAGCTAGGATTACAGGCACCCGCCACCACACCCAGCTAATTTTTCTATTTTTAGTAGAGATGGGTTTTCGCCATGTTGGCCAGGCTGGTCTCAAAAACTCCTGACCTCAGGTGATCCGCTCGCCTCGGCCTCCCAAAGTGCTGGAATTACAGGCATGAGCCACCGTGCCCAGCCTCTGGAGACATTTTTAATTATCCCAACTGTGGGAAGAGTGGGTGATGGTGCCAGGATCTAGTGGGGAGGGGCCACAGATGCTGGTAAACATCCTATCATGCACAGGACAGCCCCCACAACAATTGTTTTGACCAAAATGTCAATAGTGCTGGGACTGAAATACCTCAAGGTTGGTTAGAAGGTGAGAGTCCAGCACAGCCTGGAGATTAAGAACCCAGCATGGGCCGGGTGCTGTGACTTAGGCCTGTAATCCCAGCACTTTGGGAGGCCGAGGCGGGCAGATCACCTGAGGTCAGGACTTTGAGACCAGCCTGGCCAACATGGTAAAACCCCGTCTCTACTAAAAATACAAAAAATTAGCTGGGTATGGTGGCAGGCACCTGTAATCCCAGCTATTCAGGAGGCTGAGGCAGGAGAATCCCTTGAGCCCGGGAGGCAGAAGTTGCAGTGAGCTAAGATTGCACCACTGCACTCCAGCCTGGACAACAGAGTGAGACTCTTTCCCAAAAAAAAAAAAAAAAAAGAATCCAGCATGCCCAGGAATCCTTCTGACTATGGAGACACAGAGCCACACACACCAATGAACTCAGATAATGCACCCTGCACCCCCGATCAAGGACCGGCTATAAAATAAAAGCAATCGGCCAAGCGCAGTGGCTCACACCTGTAATCCCAGCACTTTGGGAGGCTGAGGCGGGCAGATCACCTGAGGTCAGGAGTTCGAGACCACCCTGAAACATGGAGAAACCCTGTCTCCACTAAAAATACAAAATAAGCTGGGCATGGTGGCACACACCTGTAATACTAGCTACTCGGGAATTTGAAGCAGGAGAATCGCTTGAACCCAGGAGGCGGAGGTTGCGGTGAGCCGAGATCGCGCCATTGCACTCCAGCCCAGGCAACAAGAGCAAAACTCCGTCTCAAAAAAAAAAAAAAAAGCAATCATAACTGAAATCCAAGAGGAAGCAAACTGAGTGAGGCAACAGCAACAGACAGCAGTGCCCTGAAAGGACCAAGAAAGCCCTAAGTGAATGAACAGGCACCAACTACTGATGTTTTCTTTTTTTCACTCTAAGTAACTGGGAAGTGAAAGAGGGACTTGAGCATATATCTAAATACATGCAGATCTGCAATGAAAGCAAGATGAAAAACAGATACGTATTGGAAATGCACAGCGTTGTCCTCAGAGACAAATTTCTCAACACTGAACTTGAACCCTTTCTTTAAAAAAGATTTCTCAAAAGCAGTGTACCCTCTTTAAGAACAGCAGAGTGAAAAAACATTCTAAACCCATTTCTGTAGACAGTCTGTACTGGCTTAAAATAGCTCTGAGCAGAGAAAACATAACAACATGTACCTTGTACAGGGCCAGGAAGACATGCAAAGTTGAGGTATTTCTTTTGAAATATTTATATAAAATATATCTGAATAATCTGTGACTCAAATATACAATTAGATTCTTTTAATCAAAGCATTTAGCATTATCACGACACTACCCCTAACAATAACAGCTAAGACTTACTCATGACTTACTATGTGCCAGGCACTATTATGAAATATTTTATATGTAATATCCCACTTAATTTTCAAAACAAAGCTACAATGTAGTTTTTTGTTATTACACCCATTTTACAGATGAAGAAAGTAAGGCACAGAGAAGTTAAATAACTTGGCCAAGATTAAATGTTAGCAAATGCCATTTCAGAATTTAAATGTAGGCACACTTACCTATTAACACAGAAAATGGGAGGCGTAAAATGTAAAGACATTGAAAAAAGAAGCCATTCCTGAATTTAAGGCTAAATATATCACCACAAGCATCTCTCTCTAGAATATTAAAATGTAAAGCCCTACTCTGATGAATAAAGAAGTTGGCTACTCCCAGAGAACACAGAAAAAACGACGTGAGCATGAAGCCTTCCTGCATATACAGTGTTGCTGACACCACTTGTTCAGTTCTGCGGACAACCTGCATATGTCAGGTGTAAAGACAGATGCCACTTTCATTAAATCTCTGCAGAAAGAACACATAAATGGAACAATGCTTAAGAAACTCCAAGTGACAAGGTGCTAATAGCCTTTCCTTTGCTCCAGATGCTGTATTAACAAGCAACCCTGGACAGGAAAGATTGGACCAACTTCTCGCATCCAGGCTTTGCCAAGAAAGAGAGAGAGAGATATTGAACAGAGAAGACCCAACATGTTCTCCACAGAGACCACTTCAGAGAGAGTAAAATGATAGAGGGTTAAGTGCTATTTAAACTCCAAAAGTTTTTTTCTAGAAAGGCAAACTGTTGAAAAGGAAATCGCTCCCAGAACTTTACAGTTAATTCACAAACAATGAATTTGGGGGAGATAAAATTCTGATAAGGAGCAAGACATCCAAGATGCTTGAAGGGAAACATCTGTACACCCAAGCCAAATATGTGACTACGTCACTCTGTGCAGCCTAGTTTTGATTATCAACAGCACAAGCAGTGACTGTGATTCAGTGAACAAAGTTGTACAAAATGTTTCCCCAAACTTCAACATTTGTGCTGTCCCAAGGATGCTGGCAAAGAATATAAATTGGACCAAGAGATTTAAAAGAAAAGGAGCTGAGGCTGGGCATGGTGGCCTGTGCCTGTAGTCTCAGACACTCAGGAGGCCAAGATAGGAGGAGTGCTTGAGTCCAACAGTTGGAGACCAGCCTGAGCAACAAAGCGAGATGCCACGTTTTAAAATGCTTTAGTTAGTTAGTTAGTTAGTTAGTTAGTTAAAGATAGATAGATAGATAGATAGATAGATAGATAGATAGATAAAGATAGATATTCTTATAAGAAAAGGAGCTGGAATACTCTAAGTGCCAAACTGAACTGCCCAAGACTTAGCAAAAAACAAAGCACAGCTGCTTCTCTTCAGGTCATGCCTATGACAGATGATAAGATCTTTTTTTGGTTGCTAGTGACAGCTGATTTAAGACAGATGGATTCAGGAAACCAAGAAATGACCACTGATAACATTCACTGGCCTGGACTTCTCCTGGCCACACCTTAGCTCAGATTCTGCAAGTGAGTGTGGCTGTGCCCCATAAGGTTAGGCATCAAAGAGCAGAGAGATTGCCTTAAAAGAACCTTGCAAGGTTCTCAGTCACTTCCCCGCATCTGGGCGTCTTGATTTTCTTTGTCTGTTCTACAGGGTAACTAAGAAAGTCCTCTGTGCTTGTTTTCTGAGACAGCAAATAAGGAGGTCCCTGAGGAATATCATCCTATCTGCCAGGCTTGAAAGAAAAGACAGCCACAAGCAACATAGTACACAATGGTAGCTTTGAAAGGACACAGAAAAGCAGGCTGCACTCTTGAGGGCCTCAGCAAGGAGGACAGGGCTCCACAAGGAGCTCCTCATGGCAGAAAAGAGGCCATAGGTCCTCATCACCTGGACACCCCTCTCCCAGGACAGGGAGATAGTGAAAGGGTCAGGAAATTGGGACAGTAAATGAGAATGAGAAGGACTACTCTGCAGCTTCTAGTGGAGTGGGGAAGGACCATGAGACTTAAGAAATTGTTGTTGGCTATACAGATAAAATCAACTGCCTTCAGAACTGTCTGGGAAGAAAAACAATGTCTCCTTTCATTATGATACTAAATTATCTTCTAAGACATTGGACTAGTTCTACATGCATATTAGCTTATGGTTCTTGTTAATTACATTTCATCTAATGAAAGTGCCATGTGCCTTATCATTTGTGAATCTACTCAACTACCATTTATGAGAGCATTCAAAGGCCCAAGGTAAGAAAGTCCCACGACAAGGGCAAAGATCTGAATCATATAATACAGGCTCACACCTACCTAGGATTCAGCCAAGGAAAAAGCTATGGCTGATTCTGCCAAGACAATGATACTTGGAAGCTGTGACTCTGAAACCACAAGTGAAGTCACAGGACTTTCTCATTCCAGCAAACATACTGTAGTAGAAGACAACACTTCCACACAGGGAGATCTGAAAGAACCCTAAATTGCATGAAAAAGGTTTGCCTCAGGAGCTAGGGTCCAAGGAGCACTGGTCTAAGAAATACACGGATCCAAGCAAAGAGAACAAGCCATTCTGCCAAGTAGACTCTTGTTTAAGACAATGAAATTGACAAGGTGGAGGATTTATTCTCTATTGAGACTTCCTAAATAACAATCAGGTGAAAAAAAAAGCATCCTTCAAAATGCCTATTAGGCAATGATGGCAATGATTCCACTTCCACGAATTTATCCAAGAGAAATAAATATGAGGACATGGACAGTTATAAGGCAAAATATTGGAAATAACCTAAATTATCTGACAATAAGGGACATGGTTAGATAAACTACAGTACTCCTCTACAGTGGGTAAATGGAGTATCATGCTTTCTACTGCCCTAGAAAGCTTTGACCTCAAAAATTAAATTTTAAAAGTATACCACAAAATAGTATTCATGATTCCATTTTTTAAAATATATCATATATTTTATGTAAGTTAGCACAGAAAAATATGAAAAATACTGATTTTTTTTCCAATGATTATATCTAAATTGATAGGATTAGGTGATGTTCGCTTTTTCTTTCCTATGTTTTATTATTGTTTTAGTAATGCAAATATCAGGGATACTTCCAAAATTTAAAAAACAACAATAACAAAACCTTTTGTCCAAGCAATGCATAGGTAGCATTCTTCACCAGGCAGGTTGCACTTAGCTTGATGTTCCCCACCCTGCCTGGAGGAACACAGATGCTGTGATGCCACAGGCTCCATACCCTCTTCAAAAGGCACAATCCACAGGAGCCCATTAAAGACTGAGAAAGTCTGTTTAATTCAGTTCAAGGGTGTTCGCCAAGCATGTGTGATCCCCAAACACCAACAGTTGTTTAAAAGGTTCATGGACAAAGTAGGGTGATTCCAAAGCAAGGTGATCAGAATAGTGATAAGTCTGAAAACAACATCTTCCAAGGACTGAGACTCCAGGATGTGAGCCTATTTAGCCTGAGGACTATAAGACCAAAGAAAAGTATGATAACCTTCTTCAAATACTTGAACTGCACTCATGGATAGGAGGGAGAAAAATTGTTCTGTGATATTCCAGTAGACTATGCAAGAAGAAATGGAGAGTGAGAAGCAGATCCCAGTTCAAAAGAAGACAGGGCTTTTGGGGGCTTTTGCTTTTCTCATCACTGGGAATAGTGAAGCAAAAAGTAGATACCTAGCTGTCGGAGGTGCTACAGAAGAAACTTCTCCTAGGTTAGGACACATGGTTAGATGGCTGCCAAGAGTCCTCCAGCCCCAAGATCCTCTAGGCAGCAATCAATGAGGGCAAGGTCTCAATAAATTTCCCCAGAGTCTGTTTGAGTCAATCTGTCTACACCAGATCCTGTCTGGTGGATATACCTACTAATCCCAGTCAATGTCCATAAATGTCTCCTGAGACTCCAGGGCCCAGGGATCAGCAGAAATAGACACATTTGCCTTCTTAGCAGGAACTAAGCACATCTGTCTCAAACCCTTGCCAAAGGCTGGTGAGGCTGTAAGTACAGCTCAGGACATGTGTACATGCCTGCTTCCTACCTCTAAGAGGACGTCCTGTGCATCTACACATATCTAAAGAAACCAAGACACTTGCTGGCCAATGTTCACCAAGTGATAATGCTTTCAAAAAAAGAAAAACCTTGGGTTGGGCACAGTGGTTCACACCCATAATTCCAGCACTTTGGGAGGCCAAGGCAGGTGGATGACTTGAGCTCAGGAGTTCAAGACCAGCCTGGGCAACATGGTGAAACCCCATCTCTACAAAAAATACAGAAATTAGCCAGGTGGGGCAGCCCATGCCTGTAGTCTTAGCCACTTGGGAGGCTGAGGTGGGAGGATCACTTGAGCCTGGGTGGCACAGGTTGCAATGAGTTGAGATCATGCCACTGCACATCAGCCTGACAAAGTGAGGCCCTGTCAAAAGGGAAGAGGAAGGGGGAAGGGAAGAGGGAAGGGAAGGGGGAAAGGAAGGGAAAGGAGAGGAAGGGAAGGGAAGACCAGCTCGCATATGTAACCCCACTACTTGGGGAGGCTAAGGTGGAAGAACTGCTTGAGCCCAGGAGTTTAAGACTGGCCTAGGCAACAAAGTGAGACCCCATCTCTAGGAAAAAAAAAAATTCGGCATGGTGGCATGTGATTGTAGTCCCAGCTCCCGAGAGGCTGACACAGGAGGATCTCTTGAGCCCAGGATATCGAGGCTGCGGTGAGCTGTGTTTGAACCACTGCACTCCAGCTTGGATGACAGAGCAAGACACTGTCTCAAAAATAAATAAGAAAAACCTTCTCCTAAGAAACAAGATGAGGAAAATAACCCAGTGAACACTCTTTTACCTACTGCCACTACTACTACTGCTACAAAACACACACACACACACACACACACACACACACACACACACCAAGCATCCTTCTTTCCCCTCTTTGCCCCTCTTTCCTCAAAGAGCTGGGGAAAGTGGTCTATCAAGAGGGAAAAAAATAAATAAAACACAGTAACGTAAAGATTTAGACAATGATATACCCCATATATACCAATCCAAATTCTTATATTCTATTAAAAAAAAAAAGCATTTTAGAAAGCAGAGGGGATAAGAGAGGGAACAAAAATCTTTTATCCTTCAGATTGTAGCTACATTTTTCATCTATTTTAACAAAGATATTAACAGCGTTTCCAATGAAATGAAACCTAAAGTTTTTACAGTAACCTTTTACTAAAGTCTTTATTTTTCTCTGTAACTATTTTATAACTATGAAAAAAAGAAGAGTTCTCCCTATTCATTCCATATTTTGATTAGATTTCCTGGCTTCTTAATGTCCACAATGTCCCTTTCATGCTACTCTCCTACTCCCCCCCATCACTTACCTTCCTCCCCTCTCCAGGGTATATACCTAATTGCCCTGGTCCAAGGGTGGCTAAATCCCAGAGACTGGAAAAAGAGTATCTTTTTAGAACAATGAAAAGTTACACCGAGCCTGGTGTATGTTCAACAGCTTCTTTGCCTAAGGTCATTTGACTCGCCTATCCTAACTACAGAAGAAACTGGGGCAGTTGCAGATGAGGAGAGAGTAGAATGTAAATGCAGCTCAGGTAACAAGTTCAAGTCAGCCAGAACTGCCTCCTGAAAACGCACACCCAGGGCCAGAGCCTGCCCCCAGCCCCTACCCAGAGATTAGTGGAAACAGGTAGGAACTGACTCCAGTGTTCGGTTCAGGTAAATTGTGAAGTGCTTAAATATGGATTCTTTTATTTTGAGGTTCCCAGAATTTATGCCAGCATCCTTGGCAACAATGCACGTTCTCTGATAACTCACTCCCAAAGATTGTTTCAGTGTTATTGCTGTTTTCTAAAGCTCAATTTTCTAGAGCCATGTAACTTCACCCAGGTGCTTTGAAAATCACCTATGCACAGAACTGTAAGTGATCCTTAAAAGTTGAGACTCCTAATGGTACCACAAAGGCAACTGTTCAAATTACCCAACAACTGGTACAAGAGCGTCTCACAGAGGGATGTAAACCTGGGGACCTAGAATAATGATTTTCTGACAGCATTCTTCAGAAGACATTGCAGTCTACAAACATTTTATATGAATTTGTCTTATGTCTATTTTAACTACTGGAATAAAACACCAACACACACACTCAGATGTGTTACACCAAGTTTTACACATCAGAGAACAACTACGAGGTACACTGTGCTGCCAGGATAACCCACTTTTGTGCAGATCTCAGAATAAAGCTTCCCCTACCGTCTCTATTTACTTGGAAAGCATCCTGAGATTGCAAGACTAGTTATTTTAAAAACTGTGATATGTGTACTGCTTAACTGGTGAATCGGGAGTCTCTCTATTCCATGCAACCAGAGCAAAAACCAAATCTCCCCTACTATTTCTAATTTGTGTTCATCAAAACAGCCTCACTGAAATCAGTGATTAGGTTTACACTATTATAGGTTTAACTATGAACTCCCAAAATACAATCCCAAAACATTACTACATTATGGGTTCCATGAAAAAAAAAATTGTTTTAAACAGGCACTAAGTCTGAAAACCACTGGCCAAGGCTGATGTTGCCTTAAGAAGCTGAACACAAATTTCAGCATGAATATCCGTCTGAAAAGTGACTATGGCACAGGTCATACTGCTGAATCAAGTTAGGTACTAGAGACTGGCAAACTAGAAAAGCATTAAACAGACTGGTCATGCAAAATGAGTATGGCCTACTGCAAAAGAACAATAGTTTCCATATTGCAGAATATCTGAGTTGAAGATAATTTGTGACTAAGTGGGTCAAATACTTCCAAAACTTCTATATGAGAGATATTTCTTTTTTCATGTCCTCTTAAAAAAAAAGCAGGTGGAATAGAGTTTATACTTTATGTTAATGAAATACAGCACTGCCACCAAAATATTTTAGGGATACGTTACCCAAAATAATACCCCTATGCCTTTCGACATTTTTTTAAGTTAACTTATAGTTACTCCAATCCAGTCTAATTAAGATGTTCAAAAGCCATAAATAAATAGCCAAGGGGAAAAAAATATGTTAAAGGGATTTCAGGCCTGGTGCATTGGCTCATGCCTATAATCCCAGCACTTTGGGAGGCCGACGTGGGAGAATCGCTTGAGTCCAGAAGTTCAAGACCAGCCTGGGCAAAATAATGAGACTGTCTCTAAAAAAAATTAATTAATAAAAAAATTTAATTAGGCAGGCATGGTGGCATGTGCCTGTAGTCCCAGCTACTCAAGAGGCTGAACTGGGCAAGGCTCAGTTCAAGTGATTGCAAGAGGCAATCACTTGAGCAAGGCTCGTGATTGTGATAGTGCCACTGCACTCCAGCTTGTGCAACACAGTGAGACCCTGTCGTTCAGGGGCCGGGGGGGTGGATTTCAGATTAACTTTTCAAAAGAAAACAAATGGACAACAGATGGGCAGTTTTAAAGAGAATAGGTAAACAAAACAGAATAGTTCGATTTGTATGCCACTTCCCCTACTTGCTCAGTTTAAGAAGAAAAGAAGTCCTGCTTCTGACCCATTTTACAAAGGGTGTGGAAGAAGAAGGGGTTGGCAAAGATGATGTAACCCAAATTCCAAATCAAACAGAAGAAACCAAAGTGGAGACTAGGAATGACTTTTCATACACTTTAAGGCCACCATCCTGGAGAGAGGAGTGCCACATTCCTCTCCCCCAAACAGGCAACAGCAGAACTGTGGGAAACAAGAGGTCATCAGGGCTCTTGCTCCTGCCAGACATTGTTTTTCCTTCAACTTAGTTCTCAAAAAAAAAAAAAAAAAAAAAAAGAATCCCAGCACTTTGGGAGGCCAAGGCAGAAAGCTTGCTTGAACCCAGGAGTTCAAGAAGCAGCTGGACAACGTGGTGAAACCCATCTCTACAAAAAGTACAAAAATTAGCCGGGTGTGGTGGCACACGCCTGTAGTCCCAGCTACTTGGGAGGCTGAGGTGGGAGGATCACTTAAGCCTGGGAGATTGAGGCTGCAGGGAGCTGTGTTCATGTCACTGTGCTCCAGCTTGGGTGATAAAGTGAGACCCTGTCTCAGAAAAAAAAGAAGTCCAGACAATGACAAATGCTGCCAAGGATTTAGAGAAACTAGACCACTCATACATTGCTGGTAAAACCATATAATGGTACAGCCACTCTGGGAAACAGTTTGCCAGTTTCTTATAAAAGTAAACACGCAATTCCCATGCAAACCAGCAATTGCACTCCTTGGCATTTATCACAGAGCAAGGAAAAGTATGTTCACTCAAAAATCTGTACACAAATGTTTACACCAGTTTTATTCCTAATAGACAAAAACTGAAAACAACTCAGATGTCCATCAACTAGCCAATGGCTAAACCAAACGTGGTACATCCATACCATGAAGTACTCCTTAGCTAAATTGATACAACTTGGATGAAGGTCCAGGGAATTATGCTGAGCAAGAACAACCAATCCCAAAAAGGGGATACTGTATGAGTACATTTATATAATGTTCTTAAAATGACAAATTTATAGAAATGGAGAACAGATTAGTGGCTACCAGGGATCAGAGAAGTGGGGAATGCTAGGTATGGCTATAAAAAGGCAATGTTAGGGGTCCTTGTGGTGATGGAAATCTGCATTTTACAGTGTCAATCAATGTCAGTATCCTGGTTGTGACATTATACTGTAATTTTGCAAAAAGGGAAAACTAAATAAAGGGCATAAGATAACCTCTCTGAATTATCTGATATAACTGCAGACAAATCTACAATTATTTAAAAATGAAAAAGTTTAATTTTAAAAAATACATAAGTTAAAATACATTTTTTACACTCCAAGTACTATAAAAATTGGGTGAAGATTCATTTAGCAAATGGGAGAAGGGAATTAGAGTCAAATAAACATAGAATCACTTTCTAATGACATCCCCTAAAGACAACAGAGAAAGGTATTTCAACAACATATGACATGTCAAGCCAACGTAGCCCAGAGTGGAACTACTCACAATGTAGATTTTAAAAAACATGGCTAAAGGACCATTCCTCAGGAGAACACTCCTAATGATGGAGAGCCTATTCAAGCCTGTTCTATCTTTTCTTAACTGTCCCAAGAGGCATCATCTCTGGCCTGTTCCTTCTTAGCCCATGGTCATTAGGGTCTCTGGCTAAATAAGTTTGGAAAAAACAGCATACTTTATCCAATTCTTAGAAATTTACAATGCACAGGGCTGTATTAATGGCTCTGAAAACTCATGCAGTAAAGAAACTGATTTATCTTTAACACTCTGCCAAATTTATTTGAGAATAGAACACTCCTGCCCCAGAACATCTAGCATTTCTGATTTCACTTGAGGAGAGCATACCTTAGGAATTTTAGATCCAGCTTGTTGCCCTCTATCCTGCTAATAAGGTGCCACAAACTGTGAATAAACCCTCTTGGCCTTATGGTGAACTGACCTCAACCTGTCAATGGAGGCAGCAGATACTTGGGCTTCAGAAGGAATGGCACTTTCCGCACCACGGAGAAAACAGAATGCAGGACCCCTTTGTTCCTCTTGCCTTATCATTTTTTGGGTGTTTGCTGCATGCAGCCACTGTGCTATGCAGTATTTAAATAAATTCCACTTGATATGCAAAGCAACCACATACCAATAGATACTGTTATAACATAAGATTTTTTCCATACGGAAAAAAAAAAAAAAAAAACCTGATTCTTAACATTGTCACAAAGTTACTGAGCAACAGTGTGAACCCAAAATCTGGGCCCTTAACCACTGAGCCTTAATATTTCATTATACACAGGTGGCAAGAAGAGACCTGTTTAACCAGTCCTAACTTTCACCTGACATCCCAACTGCAAGGACAGGACTCAGGCTTTACACCTGCCCATTCTCTACCCTGTATATGCCTTACCCCAGCTGTACCTTAGTATGTTTCTCTAACATAAGCTCTCTCAGGCTTCCAGACGTATTCTGTTCCCTTTGTCCAGAACATGTCTCCACTCTCTTCGCTTGGCTAACTCCTACTCATCCAGTGAACGCCAGCTTAAGCTTATCTTCCTTCTGAAGTCTTCCCTGATTCTCAGGCCTGAGTTGGGAGTTCCTCTCCGTGCTCCTGAAGCCCCGATTCATCCACTCATAGCACATCTGAAACCACTGCCTGGCTACATGTTTACCTCCCCAACTAGACTGTAAGCTTCGAGTCCCATGAAGTCAAAGACTAGGACTATTTTGTATACACCATGTGCCTGGGACACAGCAGGTTCTCAATAAATATAAAACTAGTGTATAAATCAATCAATCAAAGACAGAGAGACTCTAAAGTCCAAATCTCCCCTATCATTGTTTGAAGTCAGCAACCATGGAACAAAGTAACAGCTGCCTTCTTTTTGACCACAAAGGCAAAGCAGATAGGCTCTGAGTGAGGCAGAGCTGGGTTCGAATCCCAGCTGTTATTAACTAGCCAAATGATGTGAAGCAATTTACTTTGGCCTCGCCAAATCTCAATTTCCTCATCTGTAAAATGGAGATGTAAAAAGTGCCTACCTCATAGCGTTGTAGTGGGGATATAACAAGGCAATGCGTAATTAAGTACTCAGCACAGTCTCTGGCACTTGGCCAGTGTTTAATAAATATTAGCTATTATGATCATGGCTGGTCTGAGTGTAGGGGTGTTTACAACTAATTGATCACAACTCATTATAGATTTCTTTGCTCTTCCTCCAATCCCATTGCTTCACTTGACTAGACTTCAAAAACAGATTTTTAGAAATATTAGCTATTATGATTATAGGAAGATGAAGATAAGCCCTCTACAAAAGATAAGCTAGAAATAGTATAAAGTCTCAAGTGTAAGAAGAAAGAACCACGTAAAATACAGCACACTCCTACTTTTATAAGAAGAAAAGGAGTGAATGGTGGGCAATGGGGGAAGTAACAAAAGCACAACTCAAAAAGCGTACTGTAGATATTCAGCCAACTCATTTATGAACCATTTTAGTAGGCTAACAATGGATTAAGCAATTAAATTTCTCTAAACTCAGAAACTCAGAAATCCACAACTTTGAGGTTACTTCATACATCTTCTTGTTCTAACTTGAAGCCTGTCAAAGAAAGCCAGACCTTGAGTATTTCTATTAATAATTCCTGCCCATGCAAGTAAGTAACAGCCACAATGAGTTCCGGCCATGCTTCTAGAAACTGCTTAGATTCCATATTTGGGGAGATAAATGCTTAAACTCAAATACATTTTTAATTTGGTTACAACTTTAATCAATTCCAGCTGTTAGATGAGGCCAAAAAAACTTACAATTAAGTACTAATCATAAGCATGTTTAAATAGTGCTAATTTTATACTGGACATTTAAATTTGTCTTTGAAATTTTAACATGGTAAATTGCACTCATGATGTGGGTTTGTTCTTAGCATAATAATAATTTCCATATCAAATAATACCAAGCCCCAATTTTTTAGACTGTCATAGCAACCACTACCTTATATTTAAGTTGTAGAGAAGTTGATTCATCTTATAAAGTTACTACATTATTAAAAACTTACTTTAAATTTGTAAAAAAGCAAATGACAGAAACAATATTTCTTCTCTACACTACCACTTCCAAAAAATAGCACAATCATTGTTGAACAACATCAAGAAAAACATAACTTAAGGAAATCTCACCTTTACTGAAGTTAAATACAACAGAACAATGGCACCAATCATTTCTTCTACTGATAACTTAATCATGCAGTTTACATAAGCACATTTTGTTGCTGGGCAAAAGCCATTCAAGTTTTCCCATTCAATGCCTTTACCATCCCGACTTGTATATATAGACAACATAGAAACAGAAGTCATCCATCACAAGCATAATCCTTACTAACAAGAAAAGACAATCACATATCCTGGAGTTAGATATTTTAGAAGATTCTCAAGACAGATGTGATCAGAAAGACACTTCAAATTCTTTGGCAACTTTAACTGAAGCAATGGAATATTAAAAATATTCTTTTTCAGGCCACGCACAGTGGCTCATGCCTGTAATCCCAGCACTTCGGGAGGCCGAGGCAGGCAGATCGCTTGAGTCCAGGAGTTTGAGACCAGCCTCGGGAATACAGGGAGACCCTGTCTCTACAAAAAATAAACAAAATTAGCTGGGCATGATGGCTCACACCTGTAGTCCCAGCTACTCAGGAGGCTGAGGTGGGAGGATCGCTTGAGCCTGGGAGGTTGAGGCTACAATGAGCCAAGATCACACCATTGCACTCCAGCCTGGGCAACAGACTGAAATCCTGTCTCAAAAAGACTTTAAAAAATTAAGAAATTATACTCTTTCAATAACATACCTGGGATTTGTTTTAAAATTCTCCAGAGGAAAAAAAAAACAGCAACAACAAACAAACACCATGGGGAAGATATTTAATATTAGTACAATGCTGAAAATGGTTGAAGCTGGGAAGGACAGGTACACAGAGTTCGATATACTATTATCTGCTTTTTGCATATGTTTGAAAATATCCATGATAAAAAGTTAAACAGTATTCTCTCCATCAAAATATTCTTTCCACCTAAGCTTAAATTTAGATTTGCCACAATCTCAACCTAGAAACCATTAAAATATCACAAAATGTTTTCACCTCTCTAAAGGTACAACTCTGTCACTGACACCTCTCTAAGAAGTTTTCTGCAGCAGGGCCCAATCCCTCAGCATCTCCTCTCACAAACTAGAAGGAACCCCAAGTCCAGTCGCAACACTAGCAGATACTGCCTTCAGCAGGAGTTTCCCTCCAAAGCACCAACACCCTAAGTAAAATGACAATGTTTTGTTAGCTCATCACCCCTTAGATGGACTCATATATAACATCTGAGAAAATCTAATTAAGTAATTAAACCAACATGAGATGAACTTTTTAAACTCCTCCATAAGACTTTATGAATAAAGTCATAGGATCACCCACCACACACCAAATAAAAAAGTTCCATTTAACATCAAACTCTGAATATTATGAAAACAGGCTCTAAGAGATTACCTAAATATAGGCAGCAATTACAACTTTGAGAAATACAATCTAAAAGCCTTTGATCTTTAAAATTCAAATTACCCTATTTTTAACTTTTGACAAAGAAATATTCCAATTAACCTAAGACAAAATGGTCATCAGAACTTTTGAACAATATATAAAACACAGAAGTAATGCTGCATGAAAATTAAGCAATCTAAACAATGAAAACACACTTTCATTTCCAAACATTTAATAAAAATAAACAGCAATACTTACCAGCACTTTGTTTTCAACTTTGTCTCCCTTAACTTCCAACTTTACTTTCTTCTTCACTGAAATTTTTATCTTTCTGCCAATAACATCCTTTATGCTTTCTGAAAAAAAAAAGGAATTATGTTATTAATAAGAAAAAAAGCACTGAGGAGGAGTAAGCATTTGGAGGAGTATATTTGGTTGTTTTTACTGTTGTTGTCTTTTGAGACAGAGTCTTACTCTGTCACCCAGGCTGGAGTGCAGTGGTGAGATCTTGGCTCACTGCAACCTCCGCCTCCTGGGTTCAAGTGATTCTCCTGCCTCAGCTTCCCGAACAGCTGAGACTACAGGCGCACACCACCAGGTCCGGCTAATTTTTTGTATTTAGTAGAGATGGGGTTTTACCATGTTGGTCAGGCTGGTCTTGAACTCCTGACCTCAAGTGATCCGCCTGCCTTGGCCTCCCAAAGTGCCGGGATTACAGGCATGAGCCACCGTGCCCGACCGTTTGTCTTTTTTTACTTGTTTTAACAAGTTGGATGGTTATCACCCATCAAGTATTTAATAAACACCTACTTTGTACCTCGTACTGTATATTGATATGCTGAGGCAAACACAAAAGCACGACATAATACCAGCCCATGCAAGGCATGACATAATCTTGTTTGGAAAATAAGATACATATAAAAGAAAAAACAAAGAACAGCAAACAGTGAAGTTGGGCAGTATGATGAAACACTACGTTGCATGCAGAACACAACAGGAATTCATAAATTCCCTCTGCCCCTGGCTGGTTACCTCTGGTGCCCAGCAGCCTCTGGGTTCACCATAGTGTCATACAAATATTAGCATTCTCTATGAGTAAGTCTTGACATGATGTTTGGGGAATACGGCAAAACAAAACAGAACAGAACCGGGCTGGGCACGTTGGCTCACGTCTGTAATCCCAGCACTTTGGGAGGCTGAGGAAGGTGGATCGCTTGAGGCCAGGAGTTCAAGACCAGCCTGGCCAACATGGATAAACCCTGCCTCTACTAAAAATACAAAAAAAAATTAGCCAGGTGTGGTGGTGCGTGCCTGTAATCTCAGTTAGTCCAGGGGCTGAAGCACGAGAATTGCTTGAAACCGAGAGGTGGAGGTTGCAGTGGAGCTGAGATCGTGCCACTGCATTCCAGCCTGAGTGACACAGTGAGACTCTGTCTCAAAAAAATAAAAATAAGCCAGAACTATACCAGATGATTTACTCAAACAAAGGCACTCCCAGCCATCTGTCCTTCCAAAATCATGACAGCACAATACCCCCAAGAAGTGGTCAAAGGCAATAGAAGGAGAAATCTGGAGACTTCACATTTCAGATGGTGGTGGAAAAGTCTTCCTAGGGCTCCCATGAGTACCTCAAAATGAATACGTCTGAAATCAAACTCATTATCTCCTACTCTGGACACTAATGTTGCTGGAAAATGCTTATGTCCAACTCCTTTCTCTCAGACAGAAAGTCAGTCTCCTAAAATCTACCTCCTCCACGGCTCCTGACTACCTAGGCATGACTGCAGTAAGGGCCTCAGAATCTCTCACCAAGACTAAGTCCATGGCCTCTAACCCATCAGCCCACTGTCACCTCCATAACCACAGTGACTCTTCCAAAACTGTGAGATTCATCACGTCCCTCCCAGTCTACGAGTTGCAGTCATTTTTGAATAAACCCAAAACTCATGGCATGCCATTCAAGGTCTTTCACATTTATTTTCAGTGTGACTTCTCAGCACATACCTAAACATCCAATTATTCCTAATATCTTCATCTTTTACACCCCTAGGATTGTGTATCTATTATTCTCTTTCCTGGGATGCCCTTTCCCTATTGTCCTCCTGGTTATATTCTACTTATCCTCCAAAATACAGTCCCCTCCTCTATGCTCCCATACCTCTGTATTCTGTATTATAATCATTTTGGTCTATTCACATGTTCAACAAATAAATGTACATAGGAGTACCTCTTGTATGTCAGGTACTCTACTAGGTGCTAGATAGAGATGGTCTTTGCATTTCACAGGAGTTTGCAATCTAGTGGAGGTCACTGAGAGATGTCATAAAAGAAATTCACACACAATGCATAAGATCATGGATTCGGAAGCACGCAAAGGTTTCAGGGAGGAGAGGATCCCTGAGCTGAATCTTGAAGGCATAGGAAATAAGATCACTGGTTTCCAAAGTAGAGTGTACAATATAATCCATTGAGATGAAAGAAGAAAATAGAATTTTCATTTCTACTTACAATGTGTGTTTCAGTTTGTGTTTTAGATTATACACACTAAATGGAGCATGTAGTTTAACAAATATATGTTTAATAAGGGGTAATCAAAATTTTCTTCTTGGAAATACCGCCATGAAAGTTTAGAGCTGCTGAGATAAAGAGTGAAAACGGGGAGAAAAAGACAGTGTACGCATAAAGAACAGCATGGAAATCTGAGAAAGCACAGCCTGTTCAAGGAACAGCAAGGAGGTGGAATGTTTGGGGCAAGGGAACATGTAGAAGAGCTCACTGCACTATGAGTTCTTCACAAAGCTCCTATCTTATCAGAACTCGAGAAACAAGCACAGGCCACTCCTCCCTCCCCTAAAAAAGAATTGCGGGAAATGGGCATCTGAAATTGACTTAAGAACATATACACATGGAAACAGACTGGAAAATCATATACCCTTTAAAATAACTACCTCTAAGTGGTAACAGGAGTGACATATAGTCTTCTTATTCTTCTCTACATTTAAATTGTTTCTACATAAAGTCTATAACACTTTTTTTTTTTTTTTTTTTTTTTGAGATGGAGTTTCACTCTTATTGCCCAGGCTGGAATGAAATGGCTTGATCTCGGCTTACGGCAACCTCCGCCTCCCGGGTTCAAGTGATTCTCCTGCCTCAGCCTCCCGAGTAGCTGGGATTACAGCCACGTGCCCCCACGCCCAGCTAATTTTTGTATTTTTAGTAGAGACCGGGTTTCTTCATGTTGGTCAGGCTGGTCTCCAACTCCCGACCTCAGGTGATCCACCTGCCTCGGCCTCCCAAAGTGCTAGGATTACAGGGGTGAGCCACCACGCTCAGCCAAGTCTGTAACACTTTTTAAATATCTTGAGGGAATCTTAAGGGAATATATAGAGGTTTTCATGTGGTCGGTCGCCATTTTGAATTGATCAGAGCAGAACTCTTGTGAGCACTTGAATTTAGAGGAAAGCAGGTGCAGGTATTTATTCTATCCCAGCCTAACTTGACCACTGAAAGGCCCAGAAAAATCATATCGGGCATAATATGTCACTCTCTTGAAAGAGATAGGCAATACTTAATAAAAACAAAAATTCCATTTCAAGATAAAGGTCAAACTCAACTTTTAAAATATACAAACTATTCCTTTTGAGAACCATGAATAGAAACCCAGACACCTTATTTCCACTCTACCCTTCACTCTTTCTCTTGGGCCTAAGTAATTACCTACACTTTCCATTTCCAGACTTAAGGACAACTCCTTATATAAAGTAAAAATCTGCCACCCACTTTAGCCATCCTTATCCCCTGACCAGCCAGGCAAGCCCTGCCCTACACTCATTCTCAGGACCTCTGGAGGCGTCTTCAGAGCCTCTGGCGTTTGCTTGGGGTGTTGGAAAGGTCGCAGCCTCCCAGAACCGGATGTGTCACTCACTCCAGCAAAAGATGCAGACTCCACAGGGTTGGGGAGAGAGAAGAGGATCTGCTGGGATCATGATGAGAGGTGCGTGTGTGTGTGTGTGTGTGTGTGTGTGTGTGTGCGCGCGCGCACACGCGCGTGCGTCTGTGAATAATTTCATACTGTAAATTCTGGTAAAAGATCAGGTTTGTCTGTAATTCAGCAGAAGTAGGGGCTTCCATACAAACCTAGCAACAGCCTCTCTACATCAAGTTTTACCTGCTGAGTTAACAGTCACCAACGGAAGGGCATACACAAATTCCTCCAAAGTATTATTAGCTAAAAGAAACAACAGAGGGGCAAATTCCACACATGGAGATCAACGGGTGCTCAGAACTTCCTCTTGTTGTCAGCGCCGATTAAACATCATCTTTGTGAGCTGTAGGCTGTGTAGTGTGCCAAGAATGGTACAGGAGGGAATATAGGTCACTAGGGCTCAAAACACATCTGTACACAGACGCACATACCTTGTTACAGTATAACATGCTACACACATATACATGCTTAAACGCTAGGTTTTCAGAACACTCTCCCATCCTATTTCAGCTCTGCCATTTTAACCCTCCAGATAATTAAGTTAAACCCCAAGACTTAACCAGCCCCGCCCCCACCACCACCAAAAAAAAAAAAACCTCAAGGTACTCAAACAATGGGTCACCTTGCACAGCGTAACACACACGGGTTCCCTAAGAGATCCCCTATAGGGAGAATCGGTAGGTTAATCATTATTAAAATAAGGCTTTTATCATTAACCCTCTATTTCCTGGCCTGAGTCTGCGTCAGCCCTGTAACCCTTTCGCTCCCAGCTGGCTACACCAAGCCACACCTTGCCAAGCCCAGTCATTTTACCAGACTAGCGCCCACTCCCCCAAGTCTGCGTGTCAGAAGATCACCTCCCGCGGGGCATTTTCAGGAAAGCGCCTGACACGTGCCGGAGACGACCTACTGTGCGCTCGCCACCTGTCCTTCCAATAGGCTTTCCCGGACTTTCCCGAGTTTGGGGCAGTGGGCTGGGAGCTGTAAAGGGCTCCCCTCGCTTGCAGAACTCCCAAGTCTAAGATGGCCCGCCCCCTTCTTTCGCCAACCTGGATCCCCGCTTCCGGGCAAGAGGAGGTGCCCAGGGCTCACAGTCGAGACCCTCCTCCCACCCACCTCCCGAGGACTCCCGATTCCTCCCCGAAGCCTTCCCTCTCTGCACTTGGCTCTACAGGCGGTCGGATGGGAACAAACTTCCCGGCACCCCCAGTGACCCTGCCCAACACCACTCTGCCCTAAGGGGCGCCAAGACTTCTCGAGACCTGCGGGAAAGCAGAGGTGGGAAGGGAGAGAGAGGTGAGGAGTACGCAGAGGAAGGTGGAAAACCAACAACCGCGTGAATCTTACCTATCAACTCCCTGGGAACGTCAGAGCTCTCCTCGGTCATGGTTGCCCTGTAGGTGTGGGGGTTATTGCAGGTCCAACTCTGATTTATGGCCCCCTGCCCTTCCCCGAACTCCTCAATTTTTTTAGAGAGGCAGATGCAGCTTGCAAATGGAAGTGGGCAAGAAAAGGGGGGGCGGAGACAGAATTTTGCCGCGCGCCCCCCGCCCCACCAAAAAAAAAAAAAAGAGTTGCAAATGCGAGGCGGATTTGCTGCTGCTGCTACATGACGCCTCCTCGCAGTTCCCGGCGGCTGAATAAGGAGCGGACCGGATTACAAGCGGGCGCGGGGCGCGGGGCGGCTGTGGCGCCTGCTCCTCCTCCCGGCTCGCTGGTCCCCGGCGGGGCTTGGGCCGGCGTAGCTCCCGCCCAGCCTCCGCGCCGCACCTACAGCCCTAGGTGAAAGCGGAAGGCGTGGGAGAGGGCGGGGAGAGCGGCGCGGGGCGGGGGGAGTAGGTTTTCCTCGCGCTCCTGCCGGGCTCCGGCTGGGCGGGGGCAGCTCCGGCCCTCCTCCTTCTCCTCCTTCTCCTTCTCCTCTTCCTCCTGCGTTTCCTCCTCACCTCGCGAGAGCCGGCCTCCGCACCGGTGCGAGGCCGGCCTCCGGTGCCCGAGCGCTGGGTCCCCGGCGTAGGTCGCACCCCCAGGAGAGACGCTGTGCGGTGCTGCGGTGGCGGCGGCGGGCACCGCGCCCCTCCTCGCAGCCTCCCTCCCAAACCGCAAAAGCCCTGCGTCTGGAGAGGGGGCGAGCGGGCTCGCGAGAGAGCCCGGGAGCCATCTGCTGGCTGCGAGGGAGGAGAGCCGGGTGAGCCGGGCTTTCCATTTCCTTGTCCCCACTCCGGGCGGGCCAGGGGACCCAGAAGACGGGAGACGGCAGATTCTGCAGACCCGTCTACACGGAAGCTGGTTCTTTTTGGGACCCTCTTACGCACTTTTTCTTTTTCAACCCTCCCGGTGACATGTCACTTCATCATCGCTATTCTTCATTTCTGATGAGCTAGACGAAACCTGTGAACACTAATCATACCGTGAGAAGACACTTGTGTGTGTGCGTTCAGCTGGTGCTCTGCAGCCGCAGTTCGCTATCTCAGACATTCCCGTTGAGAGCGCCTTGGAAAATGCCTTTCACTCGGAAAAGTCTCTTTTATCCTCGGGGCATATTCAGGAAGCTGAGCTTTAATCACTGGAGCCTATGTAAGCCTGCGGATAGGTCTGATCCTACCTGGGCCCAAACTCCCTATGACTTCCCTGAGCTCCATCCCCAGAGGTTCAACTTCAGGGCCAAGAATACTTTGTGCCTCAATCGCTGCTTTTTAGCCTAGGGCTGGGAATGTCCCAGACTGTCTAATCAGGTTCTGCTTTTAAAGGACAGAAAAGGAGGAAAGGAAAGGGAATCCATGCACTTGGCAATCTAATTTTAAACACTGCTGTTGACCTTGGACCCCTTAGAATCATCTTCAGCCCCACAGCCAGGCCTTACCACTAAGGATTTGCCAACCTGGCCCCTTCCCACCCTCCTTAACCTCTCCCACTCCCTTCTCTATTACAACCAGACTCACTGTTTGCTTCCTCCTTCCTCTTAAGGTTATCTGATTCTTATCTATGTTTTCAAACCCATCCCAATGGTCTACCTTCTTTGTGAATATTTTCCAGGGATTTTCAGATTACTGTGATCCCTAAGCCTCTACAATATGTATTGCCTGAAACACTTTTCTAAACCCAACCATATGGTGTCGTGTTTCATTGCTTGTGTATTTGTCTGGTTTTACTATCTAACTCTTGCATTGTCCCCTGAGTTTGGATTTTTTCTGCCCAACTAGACTGTAGGTGAGTTGAAAGTGGGAATTTATCTTAGACTTTTGAACTTCTTCAACAGCCTAGTTCAAAATAGGTGTTCAATAAACATTTGTTAACTGATTTTAGAGCTTTGGACCTCAGGCCTCCAACCATTTGTTTCAAAAGTGGGCAATTTCTTTAAGCTAGACATTTCCTTAATGCATTAAATATATTTTTTCTGCAGTAAATGGAAATTAACATCTCAAACTGTCTTTCATTCAACCTGGTGTGTTAAAGAGGACTTTTCTGGCACATACCAATGAAGTTTCAGAAATGCCCTGAAGTTTCCAAACCATGTGATAACTTGTGAAAATAAGAACAAAAGTTTGTCTTTTTTTTTTTTTTCCTGTGGCCTGGGTGATGGAAAGAATAAAGGGAAGGCTGTATGGCAGTTCTGTAATTCAGTACTCTTTGGCTTCTTTTAAAGGAAGCTGGGGTTTCAATAAAAGAATCATTTTCACTGCAACAGGATCCTGATTGGCTCCTGCATCTCTGAAGAAGTGAATTCAAATGAATCTCCTATCACAACACTGAAAAATGACTGACTGATTTTGGAAATCAAAGTCATTTACTTCTCGGTTGCAAAACTCAAATATGTTTCAGAATAGCAAGCAGAGAACTCCAAGGAGCACTGTTTATAAAGCTGCAAACCCAACAAGCAGTAAACATCCCTAGCACCGTAAAACCATGGTGCCAGCTTGGAGAATGCAGTTTGCATTCTGAAATGTGTGCTTGTTTACTGAATCGGCCTGCCCCTTCTACTGCTACTGCTGCAAAAACAAACTTTTCTCACTCCATCACTCCAACTTCCTCAAATTCATCCCTGTTTATATAGTCTTGAATACACGAGTGATCAAACCACTACATGAAACTGATTGTGTTACATATGTGATTAGCCATAGCTTCATCTAAGTAAGTATTTACATGTGGCTGTGTTTAAGCCATACAACTAGTACTGATAATCTGAAAGCTGTTAGTAAGATAAAACTTTTTCAGAGAATCCCTACTGCATTTGAATCTGTAAAATGTTTAACATTTAACATATAGTGAGTGGCAACATTATTTTGAAAAGGAAGATGGAGAAGAGTGTAATTTGAAAAGCATGGCAAGGCCAGGTGCAGTGGCTCACATTTGTAATTCCAAATGCTTTGGGATGCCGAAGTGGGTGGATTGCTTGAGCCCAGGAGTTTGGGACAGACCAGACTGAGCAACATAGTGAAACCCCATCTCTTTTGAAACATACAGTGAGTGGCAACATTATTTTGAAAACTTATCCATGGATTTTTATTTTTAATTCTAAGCATATATTCACATCTATATAGTACATTTTGTAATGCATTATGGTCAGAAAACACTCTGAGTAAAAAAGTTTGCAGAAAATAGTGTCCCTAAAATGACACAACATGCTATCATTAGAACCATATCATGTAATGATTAAACCCATGGAGATAAAGCAAACAAAAAAGTTAAGAAGAAATCAGCACTCTAACAAAAAAAAAAATCACAAACTTACGTAGGTCAGTTTCTGATCTCGTCTACTGCATTAAGAACTGGTTTTAAAATGGAAAGGTATTCAGAAATGTGGGAACCACCAGCATTTTACTCCCCAAGTAATGATTTTAAGATTACCTTCCACCCCCAGTAACCATTGGGGAAGGGGCCTTCTTAAGAAGGTGTATTTTTCAACTTGGTTAATAAAGATCTTTCAGGAGGGTAGGCAATGTGAACTAAGCTTGCAAACACCTCTAAGAAAACTTAGTTTATCTCTGACTAGAAGACGGTGGAAGGTAAATGGCTATTAAACAATACTCCTTTAAAGTATTTACAAATGAAATTATATGAGACCTGAGATTTGCTTGAAAATAGCCCATAGGGATGGTGGGGGGTGGAGAGTATTGAGTAGAGATATAGATGAAATCAGAGTGACCTTGTGTTGATTTTTGTTGCAGCTGGATATCAGATCCATGGGAAGGCATTGCTTTCACTTTTGTATGTGTTTGCAATGTTTCATAACAATAATAAAACAGAACGAATCCTTAACACATGACTGAACAAAAAAGAGGAAAATCAACTCAGTCATTAATTCAGAACACATCTGTTTGAATGTGACATAATTAGAGCTCCCAGTTTTACAATGGTTTTCCAACTTCAGAACACTTGAACACTTCAATAGATAACGTGTTGTCTTGATTCAAAGAAACATTTTCTTATGTTAAAGTTACTGAAATCTGAATGTTTTATAATTGATATAGATGGTTAAAATCATGCTCTTCACACCCCATTCCCAACACAAATGCAAAATATATTATGAAATCCATGATTCATCTGACAATAAGTGACCTATGACAAGTGAGGAAATAAGGGTTTGACATATCTGAGCTACCCAGTGACTCCTTGGGTAAAAAGTATAATTACTATATCTTTATCACAATGAGGAAATAAGTTCACATTTGTGGAGTGACTTGCCCAGAGTCACAGCCTTAAGGGTCAAAGATTGAACTCAGAATTTGAGATTTCCAGGTAAATGTTCATTTTACTATAGTTGTTGTTGTTGTTGTTGTTTTGAGACAGGGTCTTGCTTGGTCACCCAGGCTGGAGTGCAGTGGCGCGCGATCTTGGCTCACTCCAACCTCCGCCTCCTGGGTTCAAGTGATTCTCTTGCCTCAGCCTCCCAAGGAGAGTAGCTGGGACTATAGGTGTGTGCCACCACATGGGGCTAATTTTTGTATTTTTAGTAGAGATGGAGTTTCACCATGTTGGCCAGGCTGGTCTCAAACTCCTGACCTCAAGTGATCCGCCAGCCTCGGCCTCCCAAAGTGCTGGGATTACAGGTGTGAGCCACGACACCCAACCCATTTTAATATCGTTTTTATGCTACTCTACAGGCTCCTAGGCTAGGTTCCCTGGGAAGCATACAGGTGACCAGGGCTTGGCCCCACTCACCTACAAGGAGCTCCTTCTCTAGGAGGATGATCAAGATGAGCTTCGATTGACCTGCAACTAGCCCAGTGCCAGCCACATAGTAGGTGAGGGAACATTCCTTCAGAAGGCTCAACTGAGCCAAGCCCTTTTATAAAATAATAAATACAAAATGTGCTAGATGTCAAAATGCGTTCAGTAAGTGCTATAGAAATTCGTAGGAGGGGGAGAGAGGAAGCAATAAAATGTGGAAAGGTTCTTATATAAATTGACTCAGCAAATATGAGTTGAGCACTTACTATTTGCCAGAGGTTGTAATGGTAAATTATGTGGCTGCTTCATGCAGCCCTCATGGAGCAGTCTAGAGGAGAAAGAGAGCAAGACCAAGACAAAAAAAAAATGCAACATCTTTTATAACTTAATCTTGGAAATGACATACCATCACTTCTGTTCTATTTTACTGGTCACATGGATCAACCCAGGTCAATGGAGGAAGGTGACACACAAGAATGTGAATACCAAGAGTTGGGAATCATTGAGGACCATCTTAGAGACTGGCTAAAGCAGAGAGAGAGAGAGAGAGAGAGAGAGAGAGAATGGGGCTAATGTAGAGAAAGTAAAGGATCAATGATTAGAGTAGCTGGGAATCAGGAAGGTAAGATACCAAGTTGGGAAGTTAAGTAAAAAATAATTCAAGAAGGGAGAAAGGGTTAACAGTGTCCTGTGCTGCTACAAAGTTAAATTTGATAAGGAATAATAATGCATACTTGAACTTAGTAATAAAGGAGGTATTGTTTTCTGTGGAAAGATATATTTTAGTAAAATGACAGAGAAGATAAAGTACAATGGGTTGAAGCATAATGAAGAGATGGAAAAGATGAAGGGAAAAAGGGAATACATATGACTCTAGAATTTTGAGGGTGACAAAAAGGAGAGAAGTAGCCAAAGGCCTACATAGAAGACTTTCTGTTAACCCTCGAAGATTTAATACTTACATTTATTTCTGCCACTTTCCAATGAGAGGAGAAGAATAAAACAGCATCAAGTCTCTAATGTAGATTATAGACTTTAATAATGTTGTATCAATATTATTACTAGCCCATTACTTGCAACAAATGTACCACACTGATGCAAAACAATGATAGGGGACACCGCTGGGGTAGGAAGCATATGGAAACTCTCTGTGCTTTCTGCTCGATTTTTCTGTAGACCTAAAACTATTCTTAAAAAAGAAGACTGCTCTTCCTCTCAGTCCCAAATTGAACTCAATTTGGAAAAGGCGAGTCCGGGCTCAAAATGGAGGCACATGATCCAAAGGAACCAGAGCACTTGAGAAAACTGTTTACTGTGTTCACAGCTTTGAAAATACAGACGATAGTTTGAGAAATGGCACATACTCACAGGCTGTGTGATAATGAGAGACTCCCAAACAACACATTCCAGAGGCTTTGGTTTTGTGACTTACTCTCGTGTTAAAGAGGTGGACACACAAGGCTGACAGGTGTGTACTGGAACCAAAGAGAGCTGTTTCTAGAGAGGATTCTATAAGGCCTGGTGCCCATCTAACCATGAAGAAAATCTTTGTTTGTGATATCAAGGAAGATAGAGAAGAATGTAATTTGAAGAGCATGGCAAGGCCAGGTGCAGTGGCTCACGTTTGTAATTCCAAATGCTTTGGGAGGCCGAAGTGGGTGGATTGCTTGAGCCCAGGAGTTTGGGACAGACCAGACTGGGCAACATAGTGAAACCCCGTCTCTACAAAAAAATGCAAAAATTAGCCGCGCATAGTGGCACGTGCCTGTGGTCCCAGCTACTTGGGAGGCTGAGATGGGAGGATTACTTGAGCCTGGGAGGTAGAGGGTGCAGTGAGCCAAGATTGCACGACTACATTCCAGCCTGGGTGACAGAGAGAGACCCTGTCTCAAAAAAAGAAAAGAAGGAAAGAGAGAGAGAGAGGAAAGAAAAGTATGGCACTATTTAAACCATAGATGTTATGGAAGGCAGGCAGAGTGGAAAAAAGAGGGGATTTGCTTTTTTAAAATTTACTTTTATTTATTTTTTATTTCGAGACAGGATCTCACTTTATCACCCAGGCTGGAGTGCAGTGGCCTGATCATAGCTCACTCAACCTCATGGGCTCAAGCAATCATCCCACCTCAGCCTCCCAAGTAGCTGGGAGCAAAGACATGTGCCATTACACCCAGCTGATTTTTAAATTTTTTGTAGAGATGGGGTCTCCTTATGTGGCTCAGGCTGGTCTCAAACTCCCTGGATCAAGCGATCCTCCCACCTTGGCCCCTAAAGTGCTTGGGAGGCATGAGCCACTGCACCTGGCTTTGCCATAACTTTTTAGGATCATAATACAGTTGATAAAGTTGTAATTGTCACAGAGCAAAATTTGGAGGCGGTGGAGGTAATTTTGGCTGTGGTGAAAACTTTGGTGGAAGAGGAGGCTATGATGGAGGTGCTGGAAGCAGAGATAGTTGCAGAGGAGGTGATGGTGAATATAATGGATTTGGAAGTGATGGTGGCAACTATGGTGGTGGTCTTGGTTATAGTAAAATAAGGGGCTATGGTGGTGGTGGACCAGGACATGAAAACCAAGGTGGTGGATATGGTGGCAATGGTGGAGGATGTGATGGTTGCAATGAAGGAGGAAATTTTGACAGTGGTAACTATGATGGTGGTGGGAAGTATAGTGATTTTGGAAATTATAGTGGACAACAGCAATCAAATTATGGACCCATGAAAGGAGGCTTTCTGGGTGGAAGAAGCTCGGGCAGTCCCTATGGTGGTGATTATGGATCTGGTGGTAAAAGTGGTGGATATAATAACAGAAGGTTCTAAAAAGCAGCAAAAAAGGGCTTCAGTTCCTAGCAGGAGTTAAAGTGAGGAGTTACCAGGAAAGCAGCAGGTTACTTTGAGACAGTCGTCTCAAATGCATTAGAGGAACTGGAAAAATCTGCCATAAAAGGAACAATTATCCATAGTTAGAAAAGTTACTGCAGCTTAAATAGGAAACCCTTCTTGTTCAGGACTGTCATAACCACAGTTTGCAAAAAATACAGCTATTGATTAATGCAATGTAGTGTCAATTAGATGTACATTCCTGAAGTCTTTTATCTGTTGTAACTTTTTTTTTTCTTTTCGTTACATCAGGTGTATGGCCCTGTAAATTGTGATAGTGGTACCAGGAATAAAGAATTAAAGAGTTTTTAACTTTTCAAAAAAAAGAAGCCTAATAATTTATATAAAAATGCATAGAGCAGCTGGGTGCAGTGGCTTATGCCTGTAATCCCAGCACTTTGGGAGGCAGAGGCAGGTGGATCACAAGGTCAGGAGTTCAAGACCTGCCTGGCCAAGATGGTGAAACCCCCTCTCTACTAAAAATACAAAAAAAAAAAATTAGCTGGGCATGGTGGTGGGCACCTGTAATCCCAGCTACTCTGGAGGCTGAGGCAGAGAATTGCTTGAACCCGGGAGACAGAGATTTCAGTGAGCTGAGATCATGCCACTGCACTCCAGCCTGGGTGACAGAGGGAGACTCCATCTCAAAAAAAAAAAAAAAAAAAAAAGCATAAAGCCACAAGGACAAAGAAAATAGGAGATAGTAACAAACAAGAAAATTCAACATTTTGGATCTGAGAAAGCTAATAGATGCATGGTAGCTGACTTAGCAGACTAGTGAAAGATAAACTCTAACCCTCCGGGGAGAGAGTGAATAAAAAGCAAGTTAATTTCTATAGCAGAATCCAAGAAAAATCTCAGGAACTAGATACATAAGTTATCTCTAAATGCGGAAGTACAGAATGAAGGAGGATTGGTACAGATTTTAAAAGCTCTAGACACTCCATAGATTCCCTCCCCTACCTCACACAGCCAGTCTATGCACCCCCTGCACAGCTGCCTCAGATGGGAAGTTAACTCTTTGGAGAGGTTAAACCAAAAAAGACCTAGTCTTGGAACAGCAGAGGGTGAAAGTGAGAAGCCATACCATATGGAAAGGGAAATATTCCTAAATATAAGCCCCTCAAAAATTCATTCTCTGTTTAGTTATCAGAAGTCTAGCAGCAAGGCTTATAATTCCAGTCAGAGAATTGGAGAATTCCTCTCCTATGTTATTAATCATCTTTAAATGAAAAACCTATGAGATACTGACCTACAGGGACTGGCCAGTGAATAGGTCAAGTCCCCACCTGTCCCCCTCAATTGAGACCCACCATTTGACAAAGCCTGCCCATTCATGTAAAGCTTCAGATCAGCTTTGTTATGCCTCACTGTAAATACAGACATCAAAGGCACACTGACATTTGAGGAAAGCCTCTACCATGAAAGCCAGAGACCAAAACAAACAAACCCCAACAAGGGACATAGAAGAGCATGGAAGTAAAAGAAAACTTCAAAAATCTGTAGTGAGAGAAATTCTGCCTCTGGCTGCAATGGAATAGCAAGGATTGGACATTCTCTCCCACAAAAACCCAGAAAAATATGCAGAACGTAAAAAGCTTTTATTTTTCAAACATTGGACATCAGGTAGGACAAGATTTAATCACTAAAAGAAGTTGAAACAAACAAGGTGATCACTATGATTGCCCCTGATATCTTCCTGGAAATAACCAGACTGTAGATGCAAAGAGGGGGATCCTAAACAGAGTCTATTGAGTCAAGCAGATGTAGGGATCAGAGAGGCCAAGGGGGCTGAATGTTACGAGGTAGAGTTCTAGAGATGAGGGAGCTGTGCTGAAAAGAGCTCCAAAAATCTGCATAGGGGTCTCTTTGAGTCTTTGCTGTGTATGTGGCCAGACAGGAATAAGGTGAAACTCCACAAGGGCAGGCAAAAACCACTGGAGAATTGTAAGGTGAACTACTTCTAGAGCTCACACAGGGCAGAGAGATATTTGAGTTCTGACCAGTCCAAGTGGGAAGTCATCTGTTCTCATTTTGGGCATCTGGTGGAGACTTTGAGAAGCTGGGAAAAGAAGAGAAAATAAAATCCAAAGTAAATAGAAGAAAGAAAATAATACAGGTCATAGCAGAAATCAATGAAATTGAAATTGGACCCATAACTTTTTAAAATTAGTAAAACTTAATCTGGGTCTTTGCAAAAAAATTTATTAAATTTTATGCAACACTTGGTGGACTGATCAAGACAAAAAGATAGAAGACACAAATGACCAATATTAGGAATGAGAGGGGGACATGATTACAAATATTAAAAGGGATAATATTGGAGATATTATGAAGAACATTATGCCAATAAATTTTACAGGTTAAATGAAACCTACACATCCCTTGAAAGATAAAAATGTCAAAAGTGACTCAAGAAGAAATAGAAAAAATCTGAAAAGCCCTAAATCTACGAAAGACATTTGAATTTCAAAATAAAAACCATCCCATAAAGAAAAGGAAAAACAGTCACATCAATTATCTCTTTACACACACAAACAACCATAAGGCAAAATTCAACATCCATTCAAAATAAAAACTCTCATTAACTAGGATAGAGGAGAATTTCCTCAAATTAATAAATTGAATCTATGGAAAACCTATAAGTAATGTTATATTTACTGGTGGAAGCATTTAGTCCCCCTTATGCTTCCCTCCTTAAATCAGAACCAAGACAAGAGTATCTACTCTTCCTATTTATACTCAATATTATGCTAGAAGTCTTAGCAATACTAATAAGGCAAGAATAAGAAATGAAAGACATAATGGGCAGAAAGGAAGAAAAGCCTGTCTTATTTGAAGATGGCATGACTGTATACATAGAAAATCCTAAGCAGGCCAGGCATGGTGGCTCACGCCTGTAATCCCGGAACTTTGGGAGGCCGAGGAGGGCGGATCACGAGGTCAGGAGATGGAGACCATCCTGGCTAACACGGTGAAACCCCGTCTCTACTAAAAATACAAAAAATTAGCCAGGTGTGGTGGTGGGTACCTGTAGTCCCAGCTACTCGGGAGGCTGAGGCAGGAGAATGGTGTGAACCTGGGAGGCAGAGCTTGCAGTGAGCCAAGATGGCACCACTGCACTCCAGCCTGGGCTACAGAGCAAGACTCCGTCTCAAAAAAAAAAAAAAAAAAATTTGCTGGGCATGGTGGTGTGTGCCTGTAGTCCTAGCTACCTGGGAAGCTAAGATGGAAGACTCACCTGAGTCCAGAAGGTCGAGACTACAGTGAGCCATGATCCCACCACTGTACTCCTGCCTGGGTGACAGAGTGAGATCTTGTCTCAAAAAAATAAATAAAATAAAATAAAGAGAGAGAAACACTCAGCAATAAAACGAAATGAACTAATATTATATATGGCAATATGGATGAATCTCAAAAACATTATGCTAAGAAAAAGAAATCTAGACACAAAAGAGTGTGTACTTGTGGTAACAGGAGGCATACAGTTGTCTAACCTCAGATTCCATGGGGATTCTATTTTTGGAAATCAGAAAAGATAAAATAACTCTCAGAATGATATATATATTACTAGAAATGTTTATTTCTGTAGGTTATTGGGAAGAATCTGCTTTGTACCTCATTCAGGATGTTGACAGAATTTAGTTCCTTGTGATTATGGAACTGAAATCTCTGTTTCCTTGCTGGCTGTCACTCAGGGCCCATTCTCAGCTCCGAGGGCCAGCTTACTTTCCTTGGCATGTGGCCCCTTTCCATTTTCAAAGTGAGCAAAGCTAGAATCTCTCTTGCATCAAACTCCTCTCATGCTTCTAACCTCTTTCACCAGAAAGAGACTTGTCCTTTTTAAGGACTCACCTGGACAGGTCAGGACCACCAAGTATAGTCTCTCTTTCTCTCTCTCTCTCTTTTTTTTTTTTTTTTTTTTTTTGAGACAGGGTCTCACTGTGGTTGCCCAGGCTGGAGTGCGGTGGCACAATATTGGCTCACTGCAGCCTCAACCTCCCAGGCTCAAGTGATTCTCCTGTCTCAGCCTCCTGAGTAGCTGGGATTACAGGTGCACACCACCATGCGTGGCTAACATTTTTGTATTTTTAGTAGAGACAGGGTTTCACTACATTGCTCAGGCTGGTCTCAAACTCCTGGACTCAAGCAATCTGCCTGCCTTGGCTTCCCAGAGTGCGGGATTGCAGGCGTGAGCCACTCACTGCACCTGGCTAGTCTCTCTCTCTCTCTCTCTCTCTCTCTCTCTCTTTATTTATTTATTTATTTATTTATTTATTTAACTTTAAGTACTGGGATACATGTGCAGAACGTGCAGATTTGTTACATAGGTATACAAGTGCCATGGTTGTTTTCTGTACCCATCAACTTGTCATCTAGGCTTTAAGCCCTGCATGCATTAGGTTAATTCTCTCCCTCCCTTTCCTCCTCACCCTAGTCCCTCTTTCTTAAAGTCATCTGTACTACATATAACACAACCTAATAATGAAAGATCCCATCATATTTACAGGTCCCTTCCATGCTCTAGGGGAGGGAATATACCACAATCTGCTACCACAATAAAGTTGGCATAAAACATAGAAAAAATTAAGAGAAATTTCAGCAAATCATTGTATTGTGAATGCTGAATGATGGGCGATACGTGTTTTTGTTTAGTTTTACTAACTTTGTTGTGTATGTGTGTGTGTGTTGTATTTTTAGCATATTGATCAATCACAAAAAGAATACTAAACTACTTTTATTAGTGAATGTACTTATTTTTCACATTTCTTTTCTATTTTTATTAATATCTGTATACTCAGGATTAACCTTTGTTGTTTGCTTCTGTCCTCTGGAACCTGATATCTGGGGCAATTTCAAAAAGTAATTTCTGAAGTGGGGGCAATAAATAAGTCAACCTAAAAAGAGAAAATAGCAGTCTGAGAAATCTTTCCAAATTTTCTGTTTAAAAAATCTGGCCACATAAGAAGTAAAAATAATAATAGCCATCAATGATGCTAAGCCACTGACACATTTCATCAGCATTGCTTATCTCCTATTTTCCCATTGTTCAATGTCGTCACATGAATTGTCATAAAAATGAGATTATTATTGTTCAGTTGCTCATTAGTTCAGGCTGTGGAGATCTCCTAAAAAGGATAACTTGTCTTTTGAGACCTCCCTATTTGTTACTAGAGAAAAGTGTGGGATGTTTTGGATTGCAGATGGAAAGTTTTCCTCTTTAACTGAACTCTTGAGATTGTAGTGAAATCATCCATGTCCTGAAGCATCATAATCGTTCCCATATGGACGAATTCATTCAATAAACAGTTATATTTGCATATATAGATTATCCCTAGAAATAGTTTGTCCCTGTTTTGGGAATCTTTGCTGTTCAAACAGCTCTCAAGGGTATATAAGAGGGTTTTACTCCTCTTACCCACCTCCCCATTACAACTCAGTTCCCTAGTGTTTTCCTCCAAATATTTTTAAGAAGTGAGGTAAGCTGGCTCTGAGGCTTCTAAATTCTGAATTCTGGCTCATTTTAACTGAGTCATTCCGGAGGTCCTAGCCTTGAAACAACTTATCTTTGGTTCCAATAAACAATAAGCTTAAGAAAAAAAGTTAGCTGTCTAATAGCCCCATGATTCCCTTGGCTATCTAGCTAGAAACTCTGTTCGCAAATCTGCTGCATCTTTGATGAATAGGAAATTTACAAATAATTCACAATTATGTTGAGTCAGCGCAGGTAGGGAGTTATCAGACAGTCAAAATACTTTAAAAGTGACCTGTTGGAAAAGTACTAATTTAAAAACCTGCTCAGATTTTTGCTTTCTTTCTAGCGATTACCTTAAGATTGTATTGCACCCTTTGTTATATTTTTAGATATTTAGATTTTCTTTTCCTTTATTGCTGATATTGTTATTGCTCTATGAAGCAATACAACTTTTAGCCATCTGCTTCTCTTCCTCTTTTGGATAATTGACATTTTGTCAAATGGCAAAAAAACAGTATCAACCATACTAAGTAATAACTAGCATTTATTAACCCTTCCTTCATGTTGAAGATAAAGCACTTCAAGTGTTTTATCTCATGTAACTCTCGAGACAACTTAAGAGGTAGGTGCTTTTATTATCTCTAGTATTTAAATAGGGAAGCTTCACTCCAGACGGGTTAGATAACTGTCCCTAAGTCACACATTGACACCACAGAGTAGTTCTGATGATAGGTTGTGGTGCTTCTACACATTCCCAATCTAAAATGCCAGTAAAGAAGTGACTGCTACTGCCATCTGCTGGTAACTAGCAGAGTTGCTAGCTACTTTTGCTCATGCTGCAATTAAAAATCTGTACAAATTAGTGTTTGCAATGAGAGCTCTCTTCTGACACACGTTGGTGTCTCATGATGCCATCTATCATGCTAGTGTTTAGAACAGTCCCTGACACACCGTAAGCACTCAATATTTATGGAATGAACAAATGGAGATCCCAGGAGAGTTTTTGTTGGTAAAACTTCTCAAGTTGTCCTGAAAGAACACAGAAGCTGTCTCCACACAAAGCAGTGATGGTCTTTCTTTCTTTCTTTCTTTCTTTCTTTCTTTCTTTCTTTCTTTCTTTCTTTCTTTCTTTCTTTCTTTCCTTTCTTTCTTTTCTTTCTTTCTTTCTTTCTTTCTTTCTTTCTTTCTTTCTTTCTCTCTCTCTCTCTCTCTCTCTCTCTCTCTCTCTCCTTCCTTCCTTCCTTCCTTCCTTCCTTCCTTCCTTCTTTTTTTCTTGAGATGGAGCTCTGTTTCCCAGGCTGGAGTGAAGTGGTGCGATCTCGGCTCATTGCAACCTCCACCTCCTGGGTTCAAGCAATTCTTCTGTCTCAGCCTCCCGAGTAGCTGGAATTACAGGTGTCTGCCACCACACCTGGCTAAGTTTTGTATTTTTAATAGAGACGGGGTTTCACCATGTTGGGCAGGCTGGTCTCGAACTCCTGACCTCAGGTGATCCGCCCAACTCAGCCTCCCAAAATGTTGGGATTACAGGCATGAGCCACCACGCATGACATATGATGCTGTTTTTCAAGTGTTTACTTCATTCACTGTGCTGCCTCTGCATTTACAATCTCCTTTGAATTTCCTTGTTATAACCTAGTTTATAAGTGGAGTCTCACTCATGTTTAAATCTAACTTTATCAGTTACATCGTATAGGTTTTAGAAGGAATCCTAGTTTCAGAACTGACAGAACTGAAAAATCCTGGCTAGTGTTTCCCAAGCCCTGTTTCAAAAGATGGTGATTTTAAAAAAGTGTTTAATAGACAAATAAGTTTCAGAAGCAGTACATTAGATAAATTTCCCTTGTTTTCTTTCTTTCTTTTTTTTTTTTTTTTCACTGTAGAACTTCTTAGAGTATTGAGGCAGGAGAATGGCGTGAACCTGGGAGGCGGAGCTTGCAGTGAGCCGAGATTGCGCCACTGCACTCCAGCCTGGGCGACAGTGAGACTCCGTCTCAAAAAAAAAAAAAAAAAAAAAAAAAAAAAGAACTTCTCCGAGTATTAGAAATCTTTGAGAAGGGTTATACATAAAACCGTATTTGGCAGCTTGGGCTGCCATAAAAAAATATCATGGGCTAGGGTCTTAAACAAGAAAAATTAATTTTCTTACAGTCTGGAGGCTGGAAGTTCAAGATCAAGGTGCTGACTTGTTAGGTTTCCAGTGAAGGCTCTCTTCCTGGCTTACACATACCTGCCTTCTTGTTTTGTCTTCACAGGGTCTTTTCTTGGAGGATGATATTGGAGAGAGTGAGAGGTGCTCTTCTTATGTCTCTTCTATTAATGACACTAATCCAATTGGATCAGTTCTGCACCCTTATGACCTAATTCAACCTTAAATACTTCCTTAGAGGCCCCATCTCCAAATACAGCCATACAGGAGGTGAAGACTTCAAAATATGAATCTGGGGGGGACACAAACATTCAGTCCACTTACAAATAGGACTTGATCACAGATTCTTTCTCATTTAGCTCCTATTAACATCCTAAAAGACATTAGTGTTTTGTGGAACTCACTTGGAAATTTCCAATATACCAAACTCCAGTTACTACAGATGGAGTCCAGTGAGAATAATTTTCCTAATATCATACAGCTAGTTATTGGCAAAGCTAGAACTCTCATTTTAAGTGTTGTTTTCATGATATCATGCTTGTTCTATTTTATTTCTCCATACGAAAATAAACACTAGTATTGCCTTTGCAGAACTTTACAGTTATAAAGGGGATGTGAACTAACATTTATTGAGTGCTACTATGTGACTTTTCTACCCTCCCCCGTGCTAAATGGGTTAAACATTCCAGAATTTATGACTGTTGCATTTCACATCATGATTTAATAAATGCTTGAATGACAGCCTCTATGGGATGAGTCAGTGAGAGTCTGCCCTGAGAGATACATCTTGCTGATTTTCTATGTGTCAGGCACACAGAAAATGTTTTTTTTTCTTTTTTTTCTGAGACAGAGTCTCACTGTGTTGCTCAGGCTGGAGTGGGGTGGCACTATCTTGGTTCACTGCAATCTCCGCCTCTTGGGTTCAAGCAATTCTCCTGCCTCAGCCTCTCAAGTAGCTGGGACCACAGGCACCAGCCACCACACCTGGCTAATTTTTTGTGTGTTTTTAGTAGAGATGGGGTTTCACTGTGTTGATCAGGCTGGTCTTGAATTCCTGACCTCGTGATCCGCCCGCCTCGGTCTTCCAAAGTGCTCGGATTACAGGCATGAGCCACCGCACCGGGCGGCCTTTTTTCTTTCTTTCTTTCTTTCTTTCTTTCTTTCTTTCTTTCTTTCTTTCTTTCTTTCTTTCTTTCTCTCTCTCTCTCTCTCTCTCTCTCTCTCTCTCTTTCTTTCTTTCTTTCTTCTTTCCTTTCTTTTTTTTTTTTTTTTCTCGCCCAGGCTGGAGTGCAGTGGCCCGATCTCAGCTCACTGCAAGCTCCACCTCCTGCGTTCATGCCATTCTCCTGCCTCAGCCTCCCAAGTAGCTGGGACTACAGGCCCTGTTTGTATTTTTAGTAGACACGAAAGTAGCCAGGATGGTCTGGATCTCGGGACCTCATGATCCGCCCGCCTCGGCCTCCCAAAGTGTTGGGATTACAGGCGTGAGCCACGGCGCCCGGCCGGGTTTTTTTCTTTTTTTTTTTAATTTTAATCTTTTAAAAACCTTTAAACTGACAAATAATAATTGTACATATTCATGGGGGTATATAGTATTGTTTTGAAACATAATGTATGGTGATTAGATCAGGGTAATTAGCATATCCATCATCTGAAACAATGGTCATTTCTTGGGTTGGGAACATTCTGTATCCTCCTCCTCCTCTAGCTATTCGAAACTATGTATTACCTACAGTGGTATAGAACAATAGAACTTATTCCTCCTATCTACCTGTAATTTTGTCCTTTAACAAATCTCTCCCTATCCTGCCCCCGACCCACCCTTCCCATGACCCTCCCCAGCCTCTGGTATCCTCTGTCCTACTTTTTACTTCTATGAGCTCAACATTTTTTTTTTTTTTAGCTTCCACATATGTGTGAGAACATGTGGTGTTTAACTTTCTGTTCCTGGCTTATTTCACTTAACATAACGTCCTCCAGTTCCAGCCGTGCTCACATTGGCCTTTTTTTTATGCTCTAGAAAGTTATATTGTTTTCTGCCACAGACTTCATAATGCTGTGTTCTTTTCTACTCTTCTTTTTTACTTCCCACCTTGTTCTCCTGCACTTCAGATGCACAGAATTGTGTTAACCATAAACTTTGGGTGTTTATATGCCATCATCCTTGATCCATTCACAATACCATTCAATAATATAATAAACATCCAACCCAACAATCAGAATAAGTAACCTATATTTATCTACATGTGCCTTTCTTGTCTCATCCCATTGCATCTCCCTCAAATAATATTTTGATCCTAAATGTTAGATTTATTGTTTGCTTGCTTTTTGTTGTTTTTGCTTGCCTAACCACACACAACACCACACACACACACACACACACACACACACACACACACATCTCTATTGGTTACATGGTTTAATTTTTTTTGTTGTTGTTTGTTTGTTTGTTTTGAGACGGTGTCTCGCTCTGTCACCCAAGCTGGAGTGCAGTGGCGCTATCTTGGCTCACTGCAAGCTCCGCCTCCCGGGTTCACGCCATTCTCCTGCCTCAGCCTCCCAAGTAGCTGAGACTACAGGCACCTGCCACCACGCCTGGCTAATTTTTTGTATTTTTAGTAGAGATGGGGTTTCACTGTGTTAGCCAGGATGGTCTTGATCTCCTGACATTGTGATCTGCCCGCCCTGGCCTCCCAAAGTGCTGGGATTACAGGCGCGAGCCACCGCGCCTGGCCTTTTTTTTTTTTTTTTTTTAAATAGTCCAGAGGTCTTTTATTTTATTTCTTTAACACCTATTATGCATGAATTCATAGGGAATAGATTCCAGCAGCTCAAGCTCTTTCCCGTTGGTTCTCACACAGTGTGCTTCTCTGGGTGGAGCAGGCTGGTGCTTCAGTTGAACCCAGGTACTTTTCTCTTTGGCTTCCTTCTTTTTCTGATCATTTTCCTTCACGCATTTCAGGAAGCTACCTCGGCTCTTAGAGTGTTTAATGTGCTCAATATGCACATTAATTCTCTTGGCAAGAATCTTGCCCTTAACTTGTTTGTTTAAAACAATGCCAAAAGCATGCTGGGTAAAATTGTAGACTCTTCCAGTTTTGCCATGGTAACACCTGTGGGGCATTCCTTTTTGAACAGTACCCCTTCCCTTGATGTCTGCAATATCACCTTTCTTATAGATTAGCATATATGTGGCCAAAGGAACAACTCCATGTTTTTGTAAAGGCCTAGAGAACATATATCCAGTGCCTTTCCTTTTTGCCTTTGTATTCATCATTTTGGCAAATTACTGGAAGATGACGGTTCTGGCCAAAAGGCTGGTTTTGTTTTTGGGTCACATTTTCTTGCTTCTCTGCGTTAGAATCTTGGATTAGATGATGGACATGGTGAAGGTTGTATCATTTAGTGTCTAGACTTTGTAATCTTCCTTTAAACATAACAATATTATTTTGAGTTTTTTTCTAGCAGGCTTACTGATTCTTTCAAATGATTTGTTTGTTTGTTTGTTTTATAAAAAACTGGATCTGCTATATTGCCAAGGCTGGGCTCAACTCTTGGGCTCAAGTAGTCCTCCTGCTTCAGCCTCCTGAGTAGCTGGGACTACAGACATGCATCACCATGACCGGCTTAAAGGTTGTTGTTAATCTTTGTTAGGGTCGGTGTGGAGTACCCTATTTTAGCTTTGCTCCAAAGGTGCAGCTTTTCTGGGGCCTTTAGTGAATACATAAGTATTTAGCAAGGTGTTTCTACTCTACTTGGTCAGAAATGTAACATCCCTCAGTCCTCTGAGAGTTGTTTAGCTTCAGTTACCTGGTAACTGTTCTTAGTAGGATTCATCCATTCTATCACATATGGTTTGTATGTATTCACTTTTACTAGTTACGTTGCTAAATTCTTTCTATGATTTTTCATGTGGTGGTATTATCACTTATTTTATAGATGGAAAATATGAGGTGCAGAGAAGTGATGGAAAAAAGAGAAGATCAGGATTTCAGTTTTTTTCTGCATTTCTCATCATCCCATGAAGTCTCTTGATAACATAAGCCAAGTTTTCATATACCTTGACGTGTGTGATACTTACGTGGTGCCAAGAACAAGATGCATACTCAATAAATATTCATCACTATAGGCAAAAGCGGGCACAGATGGAAAATAAAATTATTTGAAGGTAAAGAACACTTGATTAAGAATTAGTCAGCAAAATAACATTAAATTGAGTCAGAATAAATGGGTTCTAGGCTTCACCCCATTGTGAATGAATAATATATTACTTTTAGACAGTGTTTTCCTATACTTGTTTATGTTTGCTCGTCACAAAAACCTGCTGAGCTAACCTAGGGTAAGGTCTTGGTAGGAAGACATCCCAGAGTCACAAGGCAACAAACACGTAATGAAGGCAAGTTTTAAAATCAGATCTTCTGAATATTAAAAAAAAAAATTTTTTTTAGAAGGGTCTCACTCTCACCTAGGCTGGAGTACAGTGGCACTGTCACAACTCCCTGCAGCCTCAAACTCCTGGGCTCACGTGATCCTCTCATTATCTTAATCGCTTTGAGTCTCAGTTTTCCCATCTATAAAATGGGGATATCACTTAGTTCACTAGGTTGCTCTGGTGTTTAAGGGAAATAAATACATATAAAGCATATTGAAATATTTAAAGAATTCAATAAATGTTTATTATTAGGAAACAAACATATGGTAATTTTTGAGCCAGAGTCTCATTCTGTTGCCCAGGCTGGAGTGCAGTGGCACAATCTCGGCTCACCACAACCTCCGCCTCCTGGGTTCAAGGAATTCTCCTGGGTTCAAGCGATTCTCGTGGCTCAGCCTCCCAAGTAGCTGGGACTACAGTTGCACGCCACCATGCCCAGCTAATGTATGTATTTTTAGTAGAGACGGGGTTTCACCATGTTGGTCAGGCTGGTCTTGAACTCCTGACATCAGGTGATCTGCCCACCTTGGCCTCCCGAAGTTCTAGGATTACAGGTGTGAGCCACTGCGCCCAGCAACAACAACAACAACAACAACAACAACAACAACAACAAAAATCTTAAACAAACAAAAAACCCAACAGGGTTTATGACACCAAATCCTGTCAACTATCAACCACACCATATTGTACCTCTCACCACATATTTTTACTTAAATTATGTAACATTTCTTAGCCTTGGTTTTCTCACTGAAAACAGGGGAGGCTGAACTTAACTATACATAACTCTTCTGCTTCTAAATGTGTCTGAGAGAGAGACTGAAATAAGCAAGGGAGAGTGGATGTCCTTCATGCTTAAACTTAAGATCCCAATTTTTATCCGAAATGAGCTTAAACTTTCCCTCCTGTGAATTTGCTACTCTTTTTGAAGCTAATAACAATTAAAAAATAGAGCTATCTTTAATTCAGCAAAAAATAATTATTTCTAAATCCTGAGAGATCAATGAGACTGCAAACCTAACAAATTCATTTTTAATGACAAAAACACTAATTTCGTCATAAGGAGGCAATGATAAGATTCATTTATTTTGTATAAAACATTATAATTTATCATTTTTAACAAAATGGATACCACACATTTTCCTTTCGGAATAAATGTTTTAATCACCCTTTCGATGTGATATCTTTTGATCAACAGGAATTTTTGGCATCTCTAAACCCTCTTCCAAATTATTCAGGGCTCACTTTGGTTTTTAAAATTAACATTTGATTGATTTAAGTAACAAATGCAAAAGCCCAGTTTCCCCTTACATTTAAGTTTATTTTATATATTTAAAAATTCAATTTATAAATAAGGTAATATTATAAAATTCATTTTTAAGGTGACCTTTGATTATTGCTTAGTCCGATTTGCAAACTTTGTTAAATATTTTAAGTAACTTATACATTTATTATTTTCAAATTTTTTAAGTTCTTTAGTTTTCTGACTTACAAAGAAACCTTCCTGGTTATTTAAATAAGCATAATAAACCTAATAATCTTGTATTTATGCTGAACCCTTATAAATTACATAAAATTGTCTTAAGGCTTTCAACCTAAGAGAAGTCTGGATCAATGGTGATGTTTCAAATTTTAAATTCAGGGCCATTTGGCTAATCTATTGAATAATTAATATATTCAGAATTTCTTAAACATTACATTACTTAAAGCTACCACATTAGTCACAGTTTATCCACAAACATAAACCTGAAATATTAGAACTAATTTTTTGCTTTTAAAAAAGCATTCCTGTACTAAATTCTAGCTCTTTTTAGGACTAATTCACTTTCAAGAAAAAAACAATTCAGTCTTCCCACTATCATACCAGAGATTTTGGTAAGGAGCTTAAGCTGAGGCATCTAAGACAATTTCCCTCTCAGCCATGACGGGCATGTGGAAGTTTCCAAGCCCACGCCCTCCATGTAACCAAGTAACATGTTACGTAAGTGTCAAGGCTGGATTAATTCGGCAACTCATTCTAGATTGTTTTATTATTTGATTATATTAAAATAATTTAAGATTAATTTTTTTTTTCTGAAATTCTTTTCATGTCTCCTAACTGAGACCTGGTTAGATTCCACATATCCCTCTTGTCTTATCCAGCTCTAAGTCACAGTTCCGGGGACATTTTAATGATGCCTCCAAGCACATACAGACATTGCCAGGAACCTTGCTGCTCACTAACAGATGCTCCAGTCCTTGGACATCCCACATTTGAAAAAGCAGCACTGGCTGTGAGAAAAGCATAAATAATTTAAACAAAATAGGAAGAGCTAGAATGAGAACTAGTGTGAAAAGTCAAGACAAATCGAAGTATATTACTTGAATGTAGACGTGATCTGCAGTGAGACCAGAGTCTATCACATGCACACATAGAAAATGATTATATTTGTTCAGCACATCAGCATAAACAGATAAGGTAGCTCTCAACTGAAGGAGGTCTTCCCAGGGGATCGAGCACATCCCCAGGCCCTGCCTGGCTGCCCTGTGGGCTGAGAGAACCAACATGTCAACACATCTGATATCTATTCACTGTATGACAACATGGATTATCTGGGCTAAGGGTTCTTGTAATTTAAAAAATACTATTTAAGACAAATGTGATAAGGAGCCTACAACTTGTATGGCCCCCATGGACTCATAGTAATTGTTGAGATGTTTAAGATCTGAGGCTGGCTCCTTAGTGGCACTGAACCAACATATTTCAGTGTCAATCAATTGCATAACCATCACCTTAGTGTCAATGTCCTGGATATCCGCACACTAACATGCACATATAATTACATATATTTTACATCTTAGAGTGCAGCAAAATTTATTTTTTTAAAGCTCCCTCATCATCTTTTAAAACATTTATTCTCATTAGGCTTTCTGATTCACTTTTATTAACAAGTAATAGGAAATATAAGTTTATTGTTTTATTTATTTGTTCAACAATGGGAACACAACTAGTAAATGAAAGAGCTAGTACTTGAACCCAGGTTCTTAACTATAATCTTATTGCATCTGTTGCTGCTGAGGCACACATTATTAACCATTATTAGTAGGTAAGTTTTCTGCAGAACTAAAGAGATATCCAAAGACAGCAATAGCAAATACCACCATCAGAATTGGCCCCAAAAGAATACGATCTTGGATATTTTATTTTTGCATAAATACAGTTCAAGTTTCCACAACTCAAAAGAAAAGAGGGAACCTGGAGAAGTTTCAGTGTACAACCATAAAGTTTGATTTTTTTTTAATCACATGAGGAAAGCTGAATAATACCAATTTACTTAGTTTGAGGGTGAGAAGAGCTCTCACGTACAAGAAAGCCCACATCCCTGCCTTAATCTTAAATGATATATCTGTGTGATTTTTTTTTTTTTAGACGGAGTTTTGCTCTGCTGCCTGGGCTGGGCTGCAGTGGTATGATCTCGGCCCACTGCAACCTTCACTTCCTGGGTTCAAGTGATTCTCCTGCCTCAGCCTCCCAAGTAGCTGGGACTACAGGTGCACACCACCACGCCTGGCTAATTTTTGTATTTTTAGTAGAGACAGGGTTTCACCATGTTGGCCAGGCTAGTCTCAAACTCCTGACCTCAGGTGATCTGCCCGCCTCAGCCTCCCAAAGTGCTGGGATTACAGGCGTCAGCCACTGTGCCCGGTCATGATTTCTTCTTTTTTCTTCTTCTTTCTTTCTTTCTTCTTTTTTTTGAAACAGGATCTCACTCTGATGCCCAGGCTAGAGTGCAGTGGTGCAATCTGAGCTCACTTCAGCCTTGAACTCCAGGGCTCAAATGATCCTCCCACCTCAGCCTCCTGAGTAGCTGGGACCACGGGTGTGTCCCTCCACACCCAGCTAACTTTGCTTAATTTTTGTAGCGATGAGATCTCACTATGTTGCCCAGGCTGGTCTTGAACTTCTGGCCTCAAGTGATCTTTCCATCTTGGCCTCCCGAAGTGCTGAGATTACAGGTGTGAGCCACTGCACCTGGCCTATTTGTGTGATTTCTTACTTAAAATGATAAGCCTTTCAAGAACAGCCTAGAAACTACCATAGAATTTTAGAGTTATAAGTACACCATCAGATTGCATTATTAACCAGCCAATTGTACATTAACCAGCCAATTGTCAAACATGCCTCCAAAAAGAAAGTCCTTTATTAGGTTAAATCTATGTATATTTATAATTAAAATCCTCAGTTCTCAACATACCTGCATGCAATCTCAAGGCAATAGAAAAAAACTGAAGAAATTCTAACATGGAAATGTGGTGTCCTTAGCCAAAATAACAAATAGAGAGGATGGAAATGTTTATCCTTACAACAGAGCAAGATAAAATATACTTAAGCCAAAGCGGGAGAAATGCAAGTTGTGTTTAAGGAAGACTTCACTGAAAGTTAAGTTTATTGCTCACTGGAAAAATAAATAGGAAAAGATATTTAATTTCCTTCTCTGAAGGCCTTATGTAGTATTTTAAACTTATTAAATATAATCATAGTAGGGTATATTTGGGAAATAGAAATACTTTTAAATTACCTATACTCCTATACTGCTATATTTCTAACAAAGCAACTGCCATCACTTCTGGTGTATCCTTGGCTAATCTTTCTGAATTATATTCATTGATTACATAGCTGTTGCTATAACACAACACATACCTTTGTATTTAACAATTTTCATTTGTTAGTTTGACATTTTCCAAGCATGTTTTTATATTGCAATTGATTTGATAATTGTTCTTTTTCTTTTTGAAACAGAGTCTTGCTCTGTCACACAGGCTGGAGCGTAGTGGCATGATCTCAGCTCATTGCAACCTCTGCCTCCTGGGTTCAAGCAATCCTCCTACCTCAGCCTCCTGAGTAGCTTGGACCACAGGTGAGCACAACCACGCCCACCTAATTTTTGTACTTTTAGTAGAGACAGAGTTCCATCATGTTGGCCAGGGTGGTCTCGAACTCCTGACCTCAAATGATCCACCCCCCTTGGCCTCCCAAAGTGCTGGGATTACAGGGGCCGATAATTGTTCTTGAAATTAAAATTCCATCGAGTAGATACACTGTAACTTCCTTAAACATTGCCATATTGTTGCTTCTCATTTCCTGTCAGTATAAATTGTGCTGCAATGGACATGTTCATGCACATGGCTTTTATTCCTCTTTGGACAAATTTCTTAGGATGAAATCCCAGAAGTTGGATCAGAGGCTAGGAACTTTTTTGTGGCTTCCTAAATTCTTTCCAGGAAAGTATCTTTTTCTGTTGCCGTCAGCAGTGCCTCAGAGCACCGGTCTTACTGAAGCTTCGTTGGCATTGAATATCACAGCTTTTTTTTTTTTTTTTTTTTTCAGAGTCTCGCTCTATCCCCCAGGCTGGAGTGCAGTGGCACCATCTCGGCTCACTGCAATCTCCGACTCCTGGGTTCAAGCGATTCTCATGCCTCAGCCTCCTGAGTAGCTGTGATTGCAGGTGCCTGCCACCATGTCTGGCTACTTTTTTGTATTTTTAGTAGAGATAGGGTTTTGTTATGTTGGCCAGGCTGGTCTCAAACTCCTGACCTCAGGTGATCCACCCACCTTGGCCTACCAAAGTGCTAGGATTACAGGCATGAACCACTGTGCCTGGCCAAATATCAAAGCTTTTTATAATACATGTTTGCCTTTTCAATAGGAAGTAATTGGTCCCTCACTCTAGGTTGAACTCCTGGGCTCAAGCGATCCTCCTGCCTTGGTCTCCCAAAGTGCTAGAATTTACAGGTGTGAGCCACTTTGCACCCAGCCTCTTGGCTTTTACTTACAGCTACAGGACAACATAGTAATTAGCAATGTATCTAATTTACCACTTTATCAGTTCACTGAATGAGATGTTTATTTAAAGCAATCTTTAGGACAGGTGATGACTCCCATTTGGAATGATGTTCAATCATCTCATTATTTTTTTGTAGAAATAGAAAAGATGGTCTTTCTCAACTGTTGGCTTAGAAGTCACATTTTGTAGCTTGATTTAAGCCCGTTTATGTTTTAAACTGTTTGAAACTGAAGAAGACAGAATTTGAAGGAGAAATACTCACAGGCAAGAATATTTATTAATAGAAGGAATTTGACTCTAAATATGTGCAACTATATTCAAACCTCCAAACATAATTAGCAAGCTCTATAACTTATGGAAAGTACCCCAGCCTTGAAAAATCTCAGCTGCAGTAAGATTGTGAGCATCACTTTTTAAATTAAAATATAAAAATAAAGTATTTCACTAATTATTTCTGCCAACAAACATATCACCCCTGATCAATAAGTTCAATCCAACCCACAGTTATTTAACACCTACTTAATTCATGGTACTATATGCTCTGATCTACAAAGGTAGATGAGATTTCAAAAAGTCCTGATCTTTTCCCTCAAGGCACACAGAACTTTATATCATAGATCAGTGAATCATTTTCAGTTGATAGATAGTTTGGAAACTGTCCAAGACTGTAAAATAACATGTTGCATCTGGAACACTTTGAGACTCGGGGCAATTTACTTGAAGGTGTATTTGCCGTGGATCCTGTCCAAGAGCGCATCAAAGCTTTTTGGTTGTTGTTTCGTTTTTTTAATGATGTGGTCTCATCTCTGAACAGGCCCACAGCATGGTCCTGTAGAGTAGCCTGGGCTCATGTGTTTACAAATAAAAAATCAATACCCTCCTTAAAATATTGACTTGCTGACTTTGCAGAGAGCACACTTTCAAATGATCCTGCCTAGTGTGTATTGATTTGAATAGTTTTTAAAAAATCTATGTTTTTACTGGATATCGGAAAATATCTTGCTAGAACTAAAAAATGTAACAGCCATTGCCAGGTTTTCTGAACAGAGTATATTAATAGCTAGTTGATATGACAAGCGCTAGCCTAGGCATACACCCAGATTACACTGGGCTACAAGTTTGGGTTAGCCATGCATATCAGTTACTGTCCATCATTGGAGCCAGGGCTTACAAGATCTTTATAAAAGACTGGGCATTGTCTTCATTTCCAACGAGCATGTAGTCTCTTGGAGGATGTAGCATAACATTCAGAGAGAACCACTGTCTTAATGATAATATGCTGAAGATGGAAGTAGGATGGGAGCAACATTAAAGTTAATCAGGCGTGGGATGTAAACTAACATTTTTTAAGTGCCTACCCTGTACCAAGCACTGGGCTAGGCACTTGGCGTGTTTAGTCTGACATTTTTCTAAGGAGTGCATGGAAAAAGTTTTCTTTCAACTTTGACAATGTAGAAACTAAGGCTTAGAGAAATAAAACAATTATTGTCAAGCTCCCATAACCAATAACTTGCATCGCCAGGATTCAAATCCAGAACAGCCCAACTCCAGAGCTTATGTTCTCTTTTTTATACCATCATGTGCAATAAAAGTGTCTGAGAAGACAGAGGTCAAATGTGATCAGAGGGAAAAGCAATTGGTCAAGGGCACCATCTTAGATATTTGAAATTCTGTGAACAAATAAGCCAGTCTGCCTTTGAAGTTATTTGGGGTTCCACTATGCTGTTCTAAAGTTATTTGGGACCACCAACCAATAAATAATGTGAACTTGAGGGAGGCGATAAAGAACAAGGTCAGGAAGAAATCAGAATGCTTCCCCCACTCCCTTTATTTGAGACAGGGTTTTGCTCTGTTGCCCAGGCTGGAGTGCAGTGACACAGTCATAGCTCACTGCAGCCTCAAACTCGGGGCTCAAGTGATCCTCCCAACTCAGCCTCCTGAGTATCTGGGACCACAGACACCACACCTGGCTAGTTTATATATATATATATTTTAGTGGAATCTCGCTATATTGCTCAGGCTGATCCTTTTAACTTAAAATGTTTCCTTTAATCAAAAATATATATTACTGAAATGTAGATATACAGCATCGGCATTAATAAACATGTGAAGCTGGACGTGGTAGCTCATGCTGGTAATCCCAGCACTTGGGGAGGCCAAAGTGGGAGGATCACTTGAGGCCAGGAGTTCAAGACCAGCCTGGGCAACAGAGCAAGAATCCATTTCTATATAAAATTTTTAAAATTAGGCAGGTGTAGTGGTGCACACCTGTAGTCCCAGCTGCTTGGGAGGCTGAGGCAGGAGGAATACTTGAGCCTGGGAGGTCGAAGCTGCCGTGAGCTGTAATCACACCACTACACTACAGCCTGGGTGACAGAGCAAAACTGGTTTTCTTTAAAAAAAAAAAAAAAAAAAAAAGCATGTGAAAAAGAAGGCTGGACTCCACAGCTTCATTTATTTAAAAAACTTGATTGACATACTATTTTAAATGGTTAATTTACTTATTAGAGTTATTAGAGCTGTTGTTTCTAAAATATATCTTCTTCTTGCTTGATTCTGTCTGGCTTCTGTAGCTTTTGCCACTTAGACCCTCCTTTTCTTTTGTTGTTTATCATCAACTGCTGTCAGCTGTCAAATCATGCTGACTGACAGCAAAATTACCGTGCATTTAGACACAAGTGACAAGACTTTGTCCTGGCCATGTTTTCAAAGGAATCCGGGTGGTTTTAAAAAATATGTTTATGGGCCATTATTAGAAAGTGGTAACAACTGCTCTCCAGTGGAAGGTCAAACAATTTGTCTGACAAAGTGATTTGTGAAGCTTCCATAGTGAATGAAGAATCTGTAGTCATCTAAAAATAAGCAGCAGAAGGTGGTCTTGGGTAGAATAAGTGGCATCTAGAAAGCTTTAATGAAGTATCAATTTTCCAGGAAAGTGAAAAAAAAAACAAGAAAGATTAACAGCTTTCTGTTAGTTACACAAAAGGAAAGAGCCCTGGTGCCAACCACCACTCCTCCTCACCACAGAAGGTGAGTTTTAGGAGTCAGGTAGTGACTTTGGCTCAGACAGTGTTCGTATGTCAGAGTGCTTGCCATGCGACTCAGCAAGTGACTTCATCTGTCTGAGAGCCCATTTCCCCATCTATAAGAGAAAAATCATCTATCAACCCTGCGAGGTAGGTGTGGGAATTAAAGGCAGTGAAAAATTAAGCAATGACACATGACAGAAACTCAGCAGATGTGAGCTCCTTCTGACTCACTCTTCTGCTCCTGAAGCTTTTTTCAGCCACCTGTGAGGACGGCAGAAAGACACCATGTGTGTTTCCCCCACTGTTGTCTTGCATCCTTGCTGTGTTGACGTGGGGTTCATTTGTTTAAAACAGTTTTTTTTTTAATTGGCCAGGTGCAGGGGCTCATATCTGTAATCCCAGCAGTTTGGGATGCTGAGGTGGAAGCATTTTCCAAGGCCAGGAGTCTCAGACCATCCTGGGCAACATAGTGAGACTCCTGTCTCTACAAAAAATTTTTTAAAATTAATTTAAAAATCTTTCCTTTCACCTTCTCTCCCTCCCTTCCATCTACGTGCATTCAAGTACATGTGTATTTTAGGAAAATGTACATGTTTATTGTAGACAAAGCAGATAAGCCAAAAGAAGAATATAAAACTTCCTGTGATCCACATTACAGGTAGATGTACTCTGTGTGTGTGTTCAGGGAGGCTGTGTGCGTGCTTCTAAATCAGTAGTTCTCAGCCTTAGCTGACCTGGGGAGCTATTGAAGCAGATGTCTAGGACACCCACTCAGAGATTCTGACTTAATCAGGCTGAGGTAGGGTTTGGTCATTGGATGTTTAGCCGAGGCGGGTGGATCACAAGGTCAGGAGATTGAGACCATCCTGGCTAACATGGTGAAACCCTGTCTCTACTAAAAATACAAAAAATTAGCCAGGCGTGGTGGCACGCACCTGTAGTTGCAGCTACTCGGGAGGCTGAGGCAGGAGAATCGCTTGAACCCGGGAGGCAGAGGTTGCAGTGAGCTAAGATCGTGCCACTGCACTCCAGCCTGGGTGACAGAGTGAGACTCCATCTCAAAAATAAAAAAAAAAGCTCCTCAAGTGGTCCTTACTGTGCAACCAGTATCCGCTATAGACTTTTTTCTATCCTTATATCATATTTGCACAAAATAAGCTCATAGCCTGCCATTTCCCCTTAATATACTGTGAAGATCCTCTAATGTAGATAAATGAACTTCCATAAAATAATTTTTAAAAGCAAAAACTAGAAAGAATGAATTTACTCAAATAAAACTTGAAAGACATAGAACTAGAGATATTAGAAATCTGCATGCAGTAAAAAAGGTGAATCTAAATTAGCTAATTCCATAAACATTTCAACTTAAGTATCTGCAAAGTAATATGCACCTCTTTTCTTTCACAGAGATACAATGTACACGTTCATGTCATGTTGATTCTGGCAAAAATCAGAGAAATAAAAAATATTCTTGAGTTCATAAACTCTGTGAAGCTAGTTTCAACAGCAACATTCTATATGAATATAAAACCCCAATATTTCATAGATGTACTTTATCTTGTCAGAAGCATAATGGTTTTAATTTTTAATAGTTATTTATCTAATAGCATATATTAGCTTATTAATAATATCGTAATCAATGCCATTAGTATTTTTCTTACATAATATCTCAGTATGAACTGAGAACAAATATTAATGTTGATTATTTGCTATTAAAAATATTTTAAATATTTTTCAACATAAGAAAATAGCTATACATATTTAAATATTTTCTTATAAAATAATAGTAAAACAAATTAATGATGATTGTCATTTGCTGTTTTTAATAATAAATGCTGTCTTTCTGGAAGTATAAATTATGTTATTGTGCAATATGAAGGCATAGTATTCTGTTTTTTGTGGGTTTTTTTTTTGAGACAGGGTCTCACTCTGCCACCCAAATTGGTGTGCAGTGGCACAATCATGGGGCTCACTGCAGCCTCTACCTCCTGGGGTGAAGTGATCCTCCCACCTCAGCCTCCCACGTAGCTGAGACTATAGGTGCATGCCACCACACCCAGCTATTAGAGACAGGGTTTCACTATGTTGCCTAGGCTGGTCTTGAACTCCTGGTCTCAAATGATCCTCCCGCCTTGGCCTCCCAAACTACTGGGATTACAGTCATAAGCCACCATGCTTGGCCAACACAAAGCATTCTTAAACAATGTTAGAAATTTCATTGGAGGAATTTTTCACAGTGCACTGTCACCCCATTGAGTTTGAAAATGTTCTTTCAGATGTTTTTCCACTTTGCTGTGAAGTAGATTGTTGTTTCATTGGTGGTTTCATTATGTGGCTTTAAAAAAAAGGTTTTATTCCCTCCACAGTTCATAGTTCTCCGAATCTTTCTGTAAACTATATATTTTGAGATATTTTGAATAATCAAACACTCTTTAGTAGGCAAAGCCTTTCAATGAAACCACAATAAACATGCCTCTACATACTTAGCCATTTTACTAGGATGTTCTGAAACCGAAGTAAGATGGTCTTCCCATTTCCATATTTCATTTAATTGTTTTAAAATCTTATCATTTTCATCACATTTGGTTTGGCCTTATAAAAAATAACAGTTTAAAATAAATTTAGACCAATTATCTTATATTCTCCATTTACTTTTGGGTAATGACTTTATAAGAGGCAACAACTCAACACAACAGCAAAGTGAGATTTGTTATTTTTCTTTCTGTGGATTATTGATGAGCATGAGAAAACAAACCAACACAACACCAAGGGCGCTACAAAGTTCACTTACACTTCTTGTCCTCTAGAATTTGAAGCCACATTCAAAGTTAAATTCCAGAACTTGTGTCATTGATTCATGGTTATGAAAAGCCTCAGAAAAATACTCACTATGTTTTTATTATGGGTCCTCTGTGATGAATCATAACCACTTCAGTTAAACTTCAGTTCATGGAATAATTTCTCAGGCAGGGGCCTGCACAAATCATGTAATTTTTTAGTTGCCAGGTTACAGTCATAACTTCTAGGGATGTTTTTTCCCTCTAATAAGATTTTGGAAAAGAATGACAATTATTTTTTTGATCCTTGCATTGGGCCCAATCTCTTAAAGTGTATTTCTGTATCTAGAATCTGGGTCTACAAATATAGTCATTCAAACATGACTGTCCAGTCAGCTGGGATTACTCTTATTTGGGCCTATACCAAATTATTTTTTAATGATGGAATATCATTCCACTATACAATAATTTATTTAACTCAGTAACCTGGTATTGAGAATATAAGTTATTTCTGAATTCTGACTTATATAAATTATAGTAACTCTAAACATATTCCCATATTCTAAAATAAATACCCTTTGAAGTGAATTGCTAGGTTGTATTATGTACATATAATCATTTGATAGGTAAAAAGACATCTTATTTTCATTTGTACTTCTTTAATCGTAAGTTTGAACATTTGTTTCCATATGTTTATTGGCCATCTACATAAATTGTTCATGGCCTTCACCCATTTTCCATTTGAGTTGTTCATCTTTTTTCTGATTGTTTTTTGTAAGTATTTATTTAGGGCAATTAGGTACAGATGAGATACTGTAACAAAAAGTTACCAAAATAGAGTGGCTTAAATAAAACAGGAGTTACTTTTCTCTCTTGAAACAGTTTAGAGGTGAGCAGTCAGAGTTAGTAGGATGTCTCTGACGCATATGACCTTTTAGGGACTGGAGTTTCTTTCATCTTGCTGCTCAGCTGTCTCCTAGGTTGCTATCCTTGTCTGCATGGCGAAGTTAAGAATAAGACTGCCTGTACTCTAGCTCTTAAAGAGAGAAGCAGCATGGAGAATGTGTGTGTGTGTGTGTGTGTGTGTGTGTGTGTGTGTGTGTATGTGTGTATTTACATAGTTTAAAACTTAAAACTATAATATACATATATATATATAGTTTAAAACTTAAAACTATAATATACATATATATATATAGTTTTAAGGCCAGGATCCATACATGGCAAAGTTTACTTATTTTCATCTAAGTGAGAACTTTGATATGGCCATATCATACCTAGGTACAAGGCAGGATGAGATTATATTCTCTAGCTGCATAGCTATTTAACCAACTATGACTGTCTTCTATGGAACAGATAGAGAATGGATTCAGGTAGACAACAGGTAGTCTCTACAACAATGAATTAATTTTCACTTGGAAGTCCCTAAGATTTGGCTAAATCCTCACTTTCTCTGGGAAGTGTCCTATAATTTCTCTTCGCTATCAGAGTATACTGAGTTACTCCTTTCTCTATGGTGCCATTTTACCTTATACCTACATCTACAATAGTAAAAATATAATGCTGTTATTTAATTATGTATTATTCTTCCCTGCTAGAGTTACGAGCTTCTTGTGAGACCATGTTTTCCAATCTTATTCATTTCTCCCACCCACCTCCTAGTAAAGTGTCTAGCATATATTAAGTATTCAATAAGTGACTTTGAATGAATGAAAGGACTGCTTTTTATGTAAAGCACTTTGCATCTTGAAAGTGCTTTATATAAATATTATTTCACCTGACCTATATAAGAACCCAGAGAAGTAGCCACTATTATCCCTAAGAGATATTAAGTGAATTATCTAGAGTCAAATAGCTAGTATGATCTAATATCAAGATCAGTTTTTGTGTCACTGCAATAAACACCAATTTTTTTCCTTTAAAAAAATATTTTTTTTTTTTTTTTTTGGAGACAGGATCTGGCTCTGTCACCCAGGCTGGAGAGCAGTGGCAATATCTCGACTCAGTGTAACCTCCACCTCCTGGGCTCAAGCAATCCTCCCACCTAAATCTCCTGAGTAGCTGAGACTATAGGCAGATACCACCATGCTGGGCTAATTTTTCTATTTTTTTGTAGAGATCGGGTTTTGCCATATTGCCCAGGCAGGCAATCTGCCTTCCCTGGCCTTCCAAAGTGCTGGGATTACAGGCATGAGCCACCATGCCTGGCTGCAATAACACCAATTTGGGCTTTTTTTTTTTTTTCTTTTGAGACAGAGCCTCACTCTGTCACCCAGGCTGGAGTGCAGTGGTGCAACCTGTGCCTCCTAGGCTCAAGCGATTCTTGTGCCTCAGCCTCCCAAGTAGCTGGGATTACAGGCATGTGCCACCACGCTTGGTTAAGTTTTGCATTTTTAGTAGAGACAGGGATTCACCATGTTGGCCAGGCTTGTCTTCAACTTCTGTCCTCAAGTGATCCACCCGCTTTGGCCTCCCAAAGTGCTGGGATTACAGGCGTGAGCCACAGTGCCCAGCCAATAGACACCAATTTGATTATGTTGCCCATAAGTGGCTTTCCACTTGTGGAAGTAGGTCATAGCTGCATAGTGCTCCTGTACAACAATCAGAAAACTGGATAAATTACAAAAATCACATTTTTTAGACATCAAAGAGCTGTGAGAGCAACACAGACTAGATGAATTGAAATTCCAGAGAGAATGGGAAGTCCTTCTGGAGTAAGTTGATAATTACCTGCTGTTTTCTTCATTGAGCCCTTTGCTGAATCTAAGCACTGAGGGAGCATCAGGCTTAGCTATGCAGTGGGACTCTGCCGGAGAAAAGAGAAACCAATAAAACTGTGCAAGGCTGGTATGACAGATTGGAAATTTGGAGAGCAGCAAATGTGGTTAGTGTCCCTGTGAAACATTAGTTGAATTCTGGGGTTATTAGAAAGAAGCTAAGAGGCTGTGTTTGAAGAAGTAGAACGAAATCAATAATTCTGCATTCTTTAGGAGACAAAATCCTACTAGAGAGAAGGGGCCTGCTTCAAGCACATAACTGGATTCTACCTCAAGACAATCTGCCACATTTGAAGCTTGGAATCTTCAAAGAGCAGAATAGAATGTGCTGTACTCTTTCAGGACTAAAGAGACAAAGACTTCTAGGGTCTCAATCGACAGCCTTGGAGGAACATGTCTAAGGAATAGGGGTGAACCAGAGAAGACCTAGCTTACTGAAATTACAATGTGGTCCCAATCCAGCTAAACCCCTGGTTGGATTGAGGTAATCAATCTCTCACCCTATCTACAGAAGAAAAGAGAAACTCATGGTGGAGTAAGATGCCATCTGGAGCCTCTATGATTCATTTATATATATCCTACAGAATACAGTCAAAATTGCTAGATATGCAAAAACACAGGAAAAGGTGATTTAAAAATCAAAACAGAAAATAGAAGTAGACACATCATGTTGGATTTAGCAGACAATGATTTGAAACTAACCATGATTGATATGTCAAAAATGTATGAAAGTTGATAAAAAAGAATAAGATGTGTGTTAAAAGAAAATTTGAATTCATAACCAAAGAACCAACTAGACATTCTAGAAGAGAAAAATACAATATCTGAAATTAAAAACTCATTGGATCAATTCACCTGCTATACTGAGCATGCATGTGGGAGACCTAAAGAACATAGTATAAAAGCAGGCAGAAACCAGAGAGAAATTTACTTTCAAAAAATAGAATGACCCAGAGTAAGATCAATGAGTTTTCTGCTTTTCAGCTGAGTGTATTTATTCTCCAAGAATGTGCAGCTCAGGTAGCAGAAAGCTAAAGCCTTGCAGGCTTGATGGGTAAGAGAACAGAGTCCAAGGTTGGCAAAGAAGTTAGAATTGAGGAGGCATCCTTAGAAGCAAGTAAGTCACAGAGAAGCCATAAAGTCTGAGTATATTCTCTGTCCAAATATTTGGTTGACTAATAAATTATGCAGGAAAAGAGGAAACCTCCCAAATGGCCAGGGTTTTTTAAAAAAGCAGCAGCTGGGCTGGGCGCGGTGGCTCACGCCTGTAATCGCAGCACTTTGGGAGGCCGAGGCGGGCGGATCACGAGGTCAGGAGATCGAGACCATCCTGGCTAACACGGTGAAACCCAGTCTCTACTAAAAACACAAAAAAATTAGCCGGGCGTGGTGGCTGGCGCCTGTAGTCCCAGCTACTCAGGAGGCTGAGGCAGGAGAATGGCGTGAACCCAGGAGGCGGAGCTTGCAGTGAGCCGAGATCGCGCCACTGCACTCCAGCCTGGGAGACAGAGCGAGACTCCGTCTCAAAAAAAAAAAAAAAAAAAAAAAAAAAAGCAGCAGCTGGAGACTATAAAAACAGGCAAAGATATTAGCATTTGAATAGTAGGGAAGACAAAGTTTGCAATTTGATTCCAGGTGAGTTAACTTCCAACTGCCTAATACAACAAATGACTAATAATCTTCAGAACACAATAGATTCTAAAGCTACTACATGTTATCTATAATGTCCACTTTTCAACCAAAATGTATTAGACATCTGAAAAAACAAGAAAGTGTGATCCATATATAGGCAAAAAGACAATCAATAGAAATTGACTGAAAGTGGACCCAGACGTTGAATTTAACATAAAAAGACTTCAAAGTAGCTATTATTAAAATTGTCAAAAGATTAAAAGAAAATATATTGTAAGAATTATAGGAAAATATGAAAGGTAGTAAACAGATAGGAAATCTCAAAAGAATAATAGAAATTATTAGAAAAGAACAAATTAAACACTAAAATAAAATAATAATTGATTAACACAAACCAAAGCATGAAAAGAGAAACAAAAAATAACTGAGCAAGTAATCAATAAATAGCAGAATGGCAGATCTAAATACAGCCATCTCAGCCAGGCACGGTGGCTCATACCTGTAATCCCAGAACTTTCACTTTGGGAGGTTGAGGCAGGTGGATCACCTGAGGTCAGGAGTTCGAGACCAGCCTGACCAATATGGTGAAACCCCATCTCTACTAAAAATACAACAATTAGCCAGGCATAGTGGCATGCACCTATAGTCCCAGCTACTCAGGAGGCTGAGACAAGAGAATTGCTTGAACCCACGAGGTGGAGGTTGCAGTGAGCCAAGATCACACCACTGCACTCCAGCCTGGGTGACAGAGCAAGAGTCTGTCTCAAAGATAAAAGTAAAGATAAAAAAATAAATAAATACCACCATCTCAATAATTATATCTGTCTCAGGGGTCCCATAATCACCCACTAGTTGGGTGATTCACTGGAGGACTCACCACAACTTAGCATGAAGTTAAACCGGATAGCTGAAGTTTATCATAGCACAAGATAACAGAGCAGGAACAGCAGGAAAAATATATACCTAGGCAAAGGCTAGAGAGATCATGTGCAGGTTCCTGAGTCCTCCCTTTCTAAGATTATCACACTGGTGTAATCCTCTCTCCAGCTTCAAATTGTAAAGACATATACAAGATTTCCATATTCAGGAAAGCCCATTTGGGGCTTGGAGTCCAAGATTCTTGAAGAGAGCGTGTCACATTAATACATAACTGCCACATCAGTAGCCATTGTGCATACCCCAAAGCAGGTACCAGGTGCACATCATGAATCTTCATGTTTACTTTAAATCTGCTGACCACCTGGTTCATATTGACCTACTGGATTGGGTGTATAGAATGACATCATTACCTAGTACGAGGTAAACATTACAGTACTTTAGTTCTTAGCATTAGACCAAGAGTCACTGTTATAGCTACAGAAATAAGCAAGAAGTAAATAAAAATAATCTGCTGTGTTAACTTTCTTTGTAGCATTAAATATTGTTTGTTTTTGTTTGTTTGTTTGTTTGTGAGACAGGGTCTCACTCTGTGGCCCAGGCTGGAGTGCAGTGACATGATCTTGGCTCACCGCAACCTCTGCTGCCCAGGCTCAGGTGATTCTCCCATCTCAGCCTTCTGGGTAGCTAGGACTACAGGTGCATCCTACCATGCCCAGCTAATTTTTGTATTTGTAGTAGAGATGGGGTTTCACCATGTTGCCCATGCTGGTCTAAAATTCCTGGGCTCAAGCGATCTGCCTGCCTCAGCCTCCCAAAGTGTTGGGTTTGCAGGTGTGAGCCACCATGCCTGGCCTTTGCTGCATTACATGTAAATGAACTAAACAACCAAAAGGCAGAGATTATTGTAAGACTGAATTAAAAAAAAATCAAGAACCAATTATAAGGTGTCTACAAGAGATGCATTTTAAATGCAAAGACACAAATAGATTAAAAGTAAAAGGATAGAAAAATATGTAGCATGGAAAACTGGAGAAAACTGGAGTGATTTTATTAAGATTAAACAAAATAGACTTCAATAAAGAAGTATTACTAGAGACAAAGACAAATACTTCATACTAATAAAAAAGTCAAATACATCAGTAAAATGGAGCAATTATAAACGTATATGTGCCTAATTAACAGAGCTTCAAAATGTGTGAAGCAAACATCTGACAGAACTAAAGACAGAAATAGACAAATCCACAATCATTGTTGGAAACTTAAACATACTTCTCAATAATGAACAGAACAACTAAGCAAAAAGTCAGTAACAATGAATGAAAGTAAAAGATCTCCTCTTCTTATACTTTCCTTAGTCTCTTCCTAAACCAAGAAGTTCTTACAAGGTATTGTTTCTGGAGAAGGCCAGAACCATTTGTCTTCTTCTGTGCTTCCAAGGCCATATCCACGTCTGAGATCCTGCAGTAGTTTTATTTTCAGTTGCAAGTAACCAAAAGCTTAATTCAAACTTCCTTATACAATAGAGGGAAATTATTCTTTTAGGTACAGATCAATCAGGGTTAAATTTCTCTTTAATTTTGCCTCTTGTGTGTTGGATTTATTTATTTATTTATTTTTTTAGACAAGTCTTGCTTTGTCACCCAGGCTAGTGTGCAGTGGTGCAGTCGCAGCTCACTGTAACCTCTGCCTCCGGGGATCAAGTGATTCTCCTGCCTCAGCCTCCCAAGTAGCTGAGATTACAGGTGTGCACCACCACGCCCGACTAATTTTTGTATTTTTAGTAGATACAGGGTTTTACCATGTTGACTAGGCTTGTCTCAAACTTCTGACCTCAGGTGATTTGCCTGCCTCAGCCTCCCAAAGTGCTGGGATTACAGGTGTGAGCCACTGGGCCTGCCCAATTTCTTCTTTTTTGTTTGCTTTTTCTTTTTTCTTTTGAGACAAGGTCTTGCTCTGTCACCCAGGCTGGAGTGCAGTGGCATGATCTTGGCTCACTACAACCTCCATCTCCCAGGTTCAGGCAATTCTCATGCCTCAGCCTCCTAAGTAACTGGCACTGCAGGCATACACCAACACGCCTGGCTAATTTTTTTGTATTTTTAGTAGAGATGGGATTTTGCCATGTTGGCCAGTCTGGTCTTGAACTCCTGGCCTTTAGTAATCTCCCTGCCTTGGTCTCCCAAAGTGTTGAGATTAGAGGCATGAGCCACAGTGCCTGGCAATTCTTCAAAAACATTTTTTTGTATTGTAAAGTCAGAGAAAATGTGTTCGATTCATTCTGAGGTGAACATACTATATGGTGGCAAAGTGAGGATAGCAGTTCTCCCTTCACATCCACATCCCACACTACACAGAAAGAAAGAAACATGTGTTCCAGAATTGTCAGCAAAAATCCTGAAATTCGCACTTGACTTAGACCACAGACCCATGACTGATCTAATCACTGCAATGAGGGCAATAAGACTTTCTTGGGCGCAGTACATGTCATTCATTTTATCCCTGAAATAATGGGATAGTTGGGGGTAGAGTAACAATAAATTTCCAATAGAAGTGTAGACTGTTGGGAAAGGTTAAGTGGGACATGGATACCAGAGCGTTAACCAACAGGCGAACAACAGGTGAATAATACTGTGTTTAACATGGTCTCTCTCTGTCTCGCACACACACACACACACACACACACAGAGCAATGAGCAGTAACTAGCCAAACAAATGAAACATTAATCATATACAGCATATGTTAGAGCAATATACTCATATAGAAAACAGGAATTTCATTAAATTACAAAACTGTTGTTTGATAAACTAGCGAGGATAAATAATACATAATATTGTGATAGTTTTTCTTTTATCTTTCCTGTAGAAAGTTATGTATGAAAAAAGAACACTGACTTTCTCTTGTACTTTAAGTCTTTAGCATTTGGGAAATTTCCTATTATTCTCAAGTATAGTCACACTACATCAGATTTCAAGCCAAGACTTAATTTTTTAAAATGTTCTAAGAGGCATGGTGGCTTATGCCTATAATCCTAGCACTTTGGGAGTCCGAGATGGATGGATCACTTGAGGTCAGGAGTTTGAGACCAGCCTGGCCAATATGATGAAACCCCAGCTCTACTAAAAATACAAAAATTAGCCAGGTGTGGTAACACATGCTAATCCCAGCTCCTCAGGAAGCTGACTTGGGAGGATCCCTTGAGCCGGGGAGGGGGTTTTGCAGTGAGCCGAGATTGCGCTACTACACTCCAGCTTGGGCAAAAGAGTAAGACCCTGTCTTAAAAAAGTAAATAAATAAAATAAAATGTTCTAAGAGTGTTTCATGCTCATGACTGCATAAGCATTACTGAACCTGGCATTCTGCTCTTGTCTCCTTCATTGTTAGATTAATGTTCACATAAAAACATTTCCATAATTATACCAATAAAGGGTTAGACACCCTCTGTGAGTATAAAAGGAAAATTAAGACATAAAGAAAATATGTGGTAAAGAGGAAAGGGCCAGGTTGAGCAATGGGTGATAAGTGCAAGATAAAACTCATTGAATATAAAAGTTAGAATTACTGAGCTCGAAAGGATCCCAAGAGGTCATCTGATCCAGTCTGCCTTCTAAGCAACAGCACACTTTAAAATTACTGAAAACTAACAGTTAATTGTATTCTGTGTAGCACTTTTTTTTTTTTGGCTTTTGAAAAATTGATCAAACAGTAGGGATAAAGAAAACCCTAATTAATTCTTAATTCAAAGCTTACTGTATTTTGTGGTTCTAAAATATTTTGAAAAGGTTTTAAAATGTCAAATCCCTGCCAGATAGAAAGCAGATATTCCAAAATAAATATTTTACTGTTTTCTCTGCCAGTGTGATATGAGACAATAATTTATTACCAGGAAAGCTAAGGGAGGCCCTTGGAACCAGCATCAAAGTAATAATCCTGTTTCTCTGAGACTTTTGGCAGACAGTTTGTTCTTTAGTTTTCCTAGAGATTGTTAAGCACACAATTCAACCAAAACACTGACAATTCAAATTAATTATATTTATCAACAACTGTCACATACTTTAGGAAAGTATATTACTCTTCTGCATATCCTATTGATCTGTTAACATAATTTTGCACAACACTATTTGCTCTAGCAACTCAATTTCTGCTACTAAACGTTTATTCTGAAGAAATAATCATAGATGCAAGCAAAGATTTATATACAGTTGTTTATTAAAACATTTTTGACCAAGCGTGGTGACCCATGCCTGTAATCCCAGCACTTTGGGAGGCTGAGGCAGGTGGATTGCTTGAGCCCAGGAGTTTGAGACCAGCCTAGGCACGTGGTGAAATCCTATCTCTACTAAAAATATTTTGAAAAATGTATCTGGGAATGGTGGCATGTGCCTGTAGTCCCAGCTACTTGGAGATTGCTTGAGCCTGGGAGGTGGAGGTTGCAGTGAGCCTAGATCACACCACTGCACTCAGGCCTGAGTGATGGAGCAAGACCCTGTCTCAGAAAAAAATAAAATAAAATAACCCAACCCCCCCCCCACATCATTTGTAATGTCCAAAATTAGAAACCACTTAAATACCCGACAATAGAAAATTGGTTAAATAAATTATGGTGTGTCTATACAACAAAATACTACATAGCCATTAAAATTATGTTATCAAATATCCAAGGTGATGGGAAAATGTTTATGATGTGTCATTGGGAAAAAATTCAAAACATAAGCAGTATGTATAGCATGATCCCATTTCTGAAAACAGACAATATGATTGAAAGGAAATATACCAAAATATTAGATAGAGTTAAACCTGGGTGGCAGAAGTTTAATTTAATTAAAAAATGCAATACATGATTGCATTTTTCTCTTTCTCCTGTATCATATTTATTATAGTGATTATATGTCACTTTGATAGAAAAAAATTCTATATTTTTAATGCTGTACCTTTTAGTTTTAGGACACAAATAGTTAAAATAGTCACAGTTTCTATATATTTTGAAGGATGTACATAGATACATATATTTATATTTCTTTCTCAGTCTACACATAAGTAGACTGGCCACCATTACCAAAAATTGTTATATACATTATTTAGAAGTAGTTATATGTGCTGGTGCTTGTATTTCTAATTATTCTTTCAATATTTTTTCACTATAGTAATGTTTTTCATTTTTCAGTAGTGCTTTGAGATGCTTTAACATTGTTTTTCTATTAGATGTGGTGTTGCTACAGGTATCAATTCATTCTGAGAGAGAAATACTTTCTACCCAGCTTGTCTTCTATAACATTATAGGCCTCCTTGGCACGACTCATCAATTCCTTACTATGACTCGAACTCAAAGATCATTTTAGGAGATTTCATTTAAAAAAAGTCTTTACCCTGGATACAATAATTGTGTTGACTCCAATAAACAGAGCTTTCTTTTTACAAGGCCATGTATCAGTGCTGCTTGACAGTGGAATTTTCAGTGAAGGCTTCCTCTTGTAAATTGAAAGCATATGCTTGTACATTAAGAGCACACTATTCCAGCGCACTCACCTGACTCCACCATAAGTAGACCAGGTGAGATCATGAAGAACATTTTAGCTGTTCTAAAGAGCTATAAAATAGATTTACTTATGTTCCAAATTGTCTCAAAGATATTTTAGTTGATTCGTGCCTTCCTTCCTTCCTCCTTGATTAGTTCAGTTCAAAGTCATTAAGAAGGGCAGAGTGAGGTAGGTCTTGGGCAGGAGTGGCAGCAGCCCAGTCTGAGGGATTGCAGCCCCAGTGGAGTGAGGAGGGCATCTGTGTCTGGGTTTGGGTGTATCAGTAGCAACCCAGAATTGGGTTTTTAAGCCAAAGAGGGGTGAGAAGAGCACCCATATGGGGGGGAGGGCAGTGACAGGGAGCTCACACAGGATGTCAGAGACCAAGTGGAGTGAGGAGGTCACCCATATGCATATGAGATTGAGGGATTGTGGTGGCAGCACCAATGGGAGATGAGTAGTTTATAGGCAATGGGGAGGGGAAATTAGCCAGTAAGTGAATATACTGAGGATAAAGGAAGCCTGATTTCTCACTGTCAGAGAAGAAAGGTATAAATATGAAAAGGGAGTAAACTAGAATGAACCTGTGTTATCGGATTCAAACTAGAGGTATCAGTGTAAACTCATGATTTTCAAAATATATTTGGATATATAGATATAGAAATAAAGATGTCAATATGTATTCATGTATACAGTCCAGCCCTCTACACTCATGGGTTCTGCATCTGTGGATTAAAGATATTTTTAAAAAATGGATGGCTGCCTCTGTACTGAATACATACAGACTCTTTTCTTTGTCATTATTCCCAAAACAGTACAGTTTAACTAACAACTATTTACAAAGCATTTACACTGTTTACTAGTTTGTTCTCACACTGCTATGAGGAAATACCTGAGACTGGGTAATTTATAAAGAAAAGAGGCTAACTGGCTCACGGTTCCATAGGCCCATGATTCCGTACAGGTATGGTGACATCAGCTTTTGGGGAGGCCTCAGGAAACTTATGATCATGGTGGAGGGCAAAGGGAGAGCAAATACTTCACCTGGCCAGAGTAGGAGGAAGAGACAGTGGGGAGGTGCAGTCTATACACTTTAAACAAACAGATCTCATAGTAACTCACTTAGTACCTATCATGAGAACAGCACTGAGGGGATTGTGCTAAGCCATTCACGAAGGACCACCCCTATGATCACGTTCACCTCTCACGAGGCCCCACCTCCAACGCTGGGGATTACAATTCGACATTAAATTTGATGGGGACACAGAACCAAATCATATCACACCATATTAGGTATTATAAGTAATCTAGGGTATACAGGAGGATGTGTGTAGGTTATATGCAGACACTATGCCATTTTATATAAGAATCTTGAGCATCCATGGATTTTGGTATCTGGGGAGGGGTCCTGGAACCAAGGCCCCACAGATACTGAGGGATGAATCTATATGTAGATACATACATATATTCCTCAGCTCTGTCCACTGAGAGGGCCTAGGAGTATCTGCAACACTCCAATAGCCGTGAGCACACCAGGTACCCAGATATAGGTATTTAAATATCACACTCCATTAAAAGGAACCAGGGCTTTCTAGAGAAATGGCTGATCTCAAGACAGTCACAGGGAAAGTGATCCTGGAACATCTTGTGCCAGAAAGTGAGAAAGTGAGCAAAGAATGATGGGATCAAGTCAAAAGGACATGGGAGTGAGTTAGGTTTAATGAGGTTTTCATTGGTGAAATCTGGGACAATTTAGCTTCAAAATAAATAATGACAGTAACAGATTATATCCCATTGCATAAACTAGTAACCTACAAGTCCATACTAATATAAATAAATACATGGGGAGAAGAAAAGGTTTCTTTCCCTTGCAGTAGGATTCCAACTAATAAATAGAAGGAATGTAGGAATTAGGAAATCACCATTTGGCAACCACCAAAGTAATAATTGAGCTAAGAAATATCAATGGATGATAAAACTGGTAGGTAAAATTTTGATATCAACATAGTCTCAGCACACGTATTCCACCATTGAGAATGAACTCCTGTTGGGGGGGCCCACTGTGGCTAACAGTAAAAGCATATTTATGTGTGCCTGCAGCGTTACTGGTTGGTCATATGAAATTTCCTAGTAGCCAAAAAAAGCAAAAGAAATAGTTAAATTTAATAGTATATTTCATTTAATCCAGTTGTATCTAAAGTATCATCATTCCCACACATAATCAATGTGAAAATTGTTAGTGAAATATTTATATTCCTTTGTTATACAACGTATTCAAAATCTGGTGATATTTTATATTTAGAGCGCATCTCACTTCCAACTAGTCACATTTTAAGTGCTGGGGAGCCATGTGTGGCTAGTGGCTACCTTATTGAACTGTATAGCTCTAAGGTCTTCAGAGTCTGTTCACAGGAGCAAAGGGGATCTTGGCAACTCTTTTCTGGGTAGTGTCAGCATTTTCTGTGCATCTTGATGTCACTGAGGGTTAAGAGAAGACTTCCCTCATGGTCTTTCTTAAGCTCTTTAAAGCAGGGATTCTTTCCCTAGGGCCTTAGGTACACATTCACTGGCAGCTCCCGGAGCTTAAAGGAACACATCAGAAACATTGTCTAGGATTGGGAGGAAGTAGTTATAGTCCATCCTCGTGGGTTAGACAGAGCATTGTGAATTGGATTTCGGCAAAGCCGTGAGATTATCTAAAGGAATTTTGGTAAAAAAGCAGTAGCAAAATACAAAATTTCATGATAGAAAAACAAGAAACAGATGAATGTGGCATGGAAGAGAGAGTCTGGTAGTTTTGGGAACACAGTTGGATCAGGTTCCAAGGGATGAGGTAGACCTAGAAAATTTTGTTGCTCAGGAACATTTGGAACAGAAATGTTGAATCTGGAGTTCACGTTCTCTTAGAAGGGCCAGAAATGGGCTTCAGGGGCCTATAGATCTCCTGAAACTATAAGCAAAATGTTGTGTTACATGCATGTTAGGGGGTGATAGATTTTCAAAGGAGAGCATTACCCACAAATGACTGAGAATCCTGCCTTATGGATTATATGACCCTTATTAACTTCAATAGGGATGGCACCAGGTTCACAAGACTGAAGAAGAGACATGGAGCCAGCAGGTGAAACATAGAATTTATTTGGGAACTTACAGGGCAGTCCAGTGGCAGTGGGCTGGTCAGAAGAACAACCATCACTTTAAAAAAGCGTGCTGTTTATATAGCATTTTTCCTTAACACTCCTTCCCCCAACCCCACCTCCTTCCACACAACCTCCACATGGCAACCCTCATATCATAAGTGAAATTATGCTGTCAGGTGCATCTGCCATACAGAGTATGCTTAAGTTAAATTATTGCTGTCAGGTGCATCTGCCATACATAGGGCCACCAGGTAGAAAGTTAAAAATGAGAATTCTCAGCCAGGTGTGGTAGCTTATGCTTATAATCCCAGCACTTTGGGAGGCTGTAGGTGGGAGGATCACTTGAGCCTAGGAGTTCAAGGCCAGCCTATACAACAAGGTGAAACCCCTGTCTCTATTTAAAAAAAAATTTTTTTAAACAGTGAGAACTGTCACTTGTTCAAAGCCAGGAGAGACCTCGGGCCTCTGAATCAAATCTCACTCTTCAGTGGAAAAAAATGAAATACAGAGATGTCGAGTTACTGGGCCAAGCAAGGCTTTTCACTGACAACGTAGTGACTGACATACAGAAATACAATATTTAGGGACACTAGAGGACCTCTAAGACTCAGAAAAATTAGGCATTCTGGACCACAGAAAAACCCACTTAAAGAATTCTTGAAATCTTTGATCATCCCGAGTGGATGTGATCTTTCTTTCTTTGCTCTGCCAGAGCACCTGGTTTGTATCACACAGAGAGCACCACACTAATAACACTCAGAGTTTCTCACCTTGGCGCTGTTGACATTTCATGTAGGATAATTCTTCGTTGTCGGGGGGCTGCTCTGTGCATTGTGGGATGTTTAGCAGCATCCGTGGTCTCTACCCACTAGATGCCATTAGCACCATTTCCATCACTGTACCCACAGTTGTGACAATGATAATTGCATTTAGACACTGCCAAATGGGGGAGAAGGGGGAACAAAATCACTCCTGATTAAGTTCCACTGCCTTATACCAAAGCTATTTTAACATATCTCAGAATTCTAATTGAATCTTGCATTGGCACAGGCCACGCCTCACACAGCTTGAAGCAATCACAGTATGTGTAATATGTTGGATAAATAAATGTTCAGTTTTTGTGTTCATGGATTCTGCATGCCACATAAGCTATTTCCAAATAAACAATGGGTGAATGGTTTCAAAAGAGAAGAAAATCAAAAAGGAAACATTTCATTCCACTTGCTCTTTTAGGAGCTCCTGAGTTCTGCATCAGAAACAAGTTGAGCCTTGTATTTTCTTTTTTGAGCAGTAAAATACAGGTTGTCATCTTCTCCTGCACGATACGGAAGAATACAATTAGAATATTACTCAAATGAAGTTTTCCTTTAGCTTCACACAATGCACTCCATTTAGAATTCGTTCACAAAGAGAACATTTCCCCCTACTTCCTTCATATTCTTTTAACAGGGAGTTTTTAAAAGGTCCAACACTCAAAATTAAAAAAAAAAATGTATCCCTCTTAATTGTTACCTCTGAAAATAAGCACGGTGGAAAATAATTTTTAAAAACCTACTTTCCAAAAAAAATTAAACTGTGCTCTTATGAAGTATTTCAACTCAAGTCGACGAGCCCAAAGATCTTTCTTTAACACCTCCTCCCCACAGTGCTTTATATTGTGTGGTTCTTATGGTAGACATATACGCAAAGAATATAAATAGAGAGGAAATACATTTCAAGCCAAATCTTAGATGTAGGCAAATCAACTCCACATGATTTCAATCTTGGAGTCTTAACCAGATGGAAATGGTTTCCCAGGAGACAGAGCTGCGGGGCAGGGGCTAGAAGCAGCAGCCTGGACGTGCACCAATGATTACGCACGGGCTGCGTATAAAAAGTCCCCGAGGGAAGGAAAGCCGAAACTCCATCCTGAGGGATGCTGCGGCGAGAGAATCTCCAACTCATGGAGGCTGAGCTTCTGCGGGAGAGGCCACAGCCTGAAGAAGAGGTGGGATCGGAAATAAACCCGCCTGGGAGACCTGCAGGCACCAGCAGGTCATTCTCATTTGTTTATTATATTTAATAAGCGTTTTAGTTTGGAATGATCTGAAATGATTTAAAATTGCAAAGCGAGCGAGTTCAGAGAGTTCCCTTATACCTCTCACCCAGTTTCCCTCATTGTTAATATCTTACATTATCATGGAATATTTGCCAAAGCTAAAACATTGACATTGGCATTGTATTAATTTATGAGACACGGTTTTGCTCTGTCGCCCAGGCTGGAGTGCAGTGGCACGATCTCGGCTCACTGCAACCTCTGCCTCCCGGGTTCAAGCGATTTTCCTGCCTCAGCCTCCTGAGGCAGCTACTCAGGCTACCACTACAGACGCATACCACCATGCCTGGCTAATTTTTGTATTTTCAGTAGAGATGGGATTTCCACATGGTGGCCAGGCTGCTCTTGAACTCCAGGGCTCAAGCAGTCCTCCCACCTCAGCCTCCCAAAGTGCTGGGATTACAGGGGTGAGCCACCGTGCCTGGCCGGCATATTATTATTTATTTTTAAAGAGTTAAACGATTTCCTTTAATAGAAAAACATTCAACACGTTTGTTCGAAGTTTCATATGTTTGGGGTGTAAGCTAGTGGTTCTTAAGAGCATAGAAAAATTCTTCCTGAGGGCAGTTTATTAGATGCTCCTGTTGCTTCCATGCTAAAGAACAAACCCCACAGGAAGGCCTGTTTCCCAACATTTGGAGTAGTTCTTTGTCTCCCAAAATTCCAGTTATAACACCTGTAAGGGTATGTGGCATTTCAGAGGGAGTTTGCTGCTTGTAAGATAGCAGGGTGGGAAGGGGAATTTCCCTAGGACTTTGCCTGTGGTTTTCCTTGGGGTGCCAGGTTAAAATCTGAAGAATGGAGGGTCTCGGGGCCTCCATCTGGCCATGCCACAGGGGCTTGTGGCAGCCCACTTTCTTCCCTCTTCAGAAAAATCCTGGGCTTGGCTCAAGGAGGCAGATGTCATCTGGTCCTCAAAGACCAATTGTGCAGCTGATGGAGCCCCTGGGGTAGGATCCAGGTTGGAGGCTACCCCACCCCTTGTAGAAGGGCAAAAATCTCAGATCTCAATGACTTATTTTAGTGAGAATTCCCTCTTTTATTAGTATTTGCTATAAAAAATAAGCTCCACCCACACTTGTGTGTCTAAGAATCACCCAGGGAAGTTGCTGACAGGCAGATGCCTAAACCCAGATTTGGTGGGTCTGGGTTAGGTCCTGGAGATGTGTGTTTCTAACAAGCATCCCAGATGATTCTGATTCAAATAGATGGCACTTAAGTCAGATACACTGTTTAATTAGTCTGCTTATTCTAGATTAACTACTAGAATTTGGATTTCTGTCAGCTGGGGGTATCTTTTTAGCATTCTCCAGAGGGGCTCTTTAATTCAGAATGTTATGCATCTTGTTTTGTTGTCATTCATTGACAGTAAGTGAAAACATATAATGTGAGAACTAAGTAAAATTTGCTAAACACTTAAGCATGAATGTATATGTCACAACTTATAGACAGTGTCATTCCAGTGATAAATCTCCATTTTTCTCTCTCACGTGCAGCCAAGTTGTAGTGTCTGATTCTCATAGTCGGTACCTATGCAAGGAATATAAATAGAGAGGGAAAGCATTTCACGCCAAATCTTAATGTAGGCAAATCATCTGCTCTGGGTCTTGTTCCCTTCAGGGACCTGGCTCCTGGCTTTTTGCTGGTTTTCCAGGATCTATGTTGTCTATTTATCATTTTATATACTGTAGGTGAGCCTGTCCTAAAATAATCATCCTTTTGAGTTTTCTAATATCAATTGCCACTTTTCACTTTAGTATTCAGAGACTCAAATCTGGGACCCCGTTCTGAGTGACAGCAAGTGCGTGGACACACACATTCTTGAAGATACTGCTTTTCACTTCACATTGTTCTACTCAGCGTCTCCACTGCTCCCAGCGTCTCTGCTGTGCCTCTTCTGGACATATAGAAGTGATGTATTCTTCATAGTCTAAGAGCCCCAGCAATATTTATAGCAATCTTTAATTTCCACTTAGTAAGTATTTTGAACTTATGAAATTCCTGTAAGTGAATTTTAGGTCATGCCACGTGTACTCCACCTTCTGAAGTCTGCCCGTGATGACCTTCTTTCAGGTACAATAGGTACAATTTGTCTAGTGTAGATTGTCTAATCTTGATTAATATAGATTTTCTTCAGTTCAGAAATACAATTTAAATGCCATTAAAAACTTAATTTTTGACTGACTTTTCTTGTGTTTCTTATTTAATAGAAAGCCTCAATTTCTAGTAAAGCCATCCAGTCTTTCAGTTACTCAGTGTGCTGGCCTGTGGAAACTGAAGAACTATAAATATGCTCCAATTCACATCAGTCTGGTGTTTCTGAAGTTGCCCTGTTTCTACGTTTCAAATCCCATGTGGTTTTTTTCATTTAGAATATAATTCCAGATACCAATTATTTTATCTGATTTCATAAATCCCAGTAACTTCTTTTTCTGTCTATTTGGCCTGTTTCTTCCTTCATTCCAGACATAGTTATCTAATGACTTAGTTATCTAATGACCACAGGGTGTGGTTTTACAATCAAGTCCAGTTCTTGCATCTGTGCCTGAGTTTGGGGGCCTGTAGGACTTGCAATTTTAATTGGTGGCAAGGAAGTATGCAGTTCATGCATGTGGCTTGAATAATAAGATTTTGCTCTCCTTTTTCTCATATAATATCTAAGTAACTGTCTTTCTTGCTATTGTAGCTTTCTCCAGGCCAATCTGTCACTCTGTGGTTTCTGGTTTTGCTCTTCATTCTCCCAAGAATCACTGTAGCATTTAAGAAACTTTACTGAAGACTTGAAAATAAGGTCAAAGACCTGCAATGCAGAAAGGAAAGTCTGTGCCTGAGTTGTCCTCAGATCCCATTGCTCCTGAAACCTTTCAGTCATGGCCTTTTCATAGGACGATCCCTGGTCATCCTTCTACCCACCTTCTCCCACTCCCACCAGTGTCTCCAAGTTACTGGCTGTCTTAGTTTGTTTCAGCTGCTGTACCAAAAATACCATAAGCTAGGTGGCTTGTAAACAACTTTTACTCCTCACAGTGCTGGAGGCTGGGAAGTCCAAGATCAGGGCACTGATGAATTCAGTGTCTAGTGAGGGCCTGCTTCCTGGTTTGTAGACAGCCATCATCTTGCTGTGTTCTCCAATGGGAGAAGGGACAAGGCAACTCTCTGGGATCTCTTGTAAGAAGGATACTGATTCCACTCATGATAGTTCTGCCCTAATGACCTAACCATCTCCCAAAAGCCCCACCTCCTAATACATCACCCTGGTAGTTAGGTTTCAACGTAAGAATTTTGAGGGGACATTCAGACCATAGCACTGGGTCGGCCTCCCACTTGAACAAACAGTTCCCTTGACTCTCTCCATCATAAAGCCCACAACTCCATCATTATTTCTTAGCTATAGCCGTAGGAGAATTGGAGTTAAGCTCACGATAATCTCTAGGCACAGGGCCAGAATGAGAGTAAGGCAATGATGCATGAGGCCACAAGTTTTAACGGAACACCAAAAGAGTTAACAATTAAGAGCAATAATATGTTAATGCAATATTTTAAAAATTAAAATTAATGCTAAAATCGATAATAAAATAGCAATAGTTTAAATAAAAACAGGCTGTTTGTTTTGCAACTCTGCATTTTTGTGCAATAAAGCATAGTTGTTGATTAGCTCAAGGTTCCTGAGCCCACAGAGCTAGGCGGGTTGATAAGGGGTGATGATGGTGTGTGAACAGATTGGACAATATAATGCTTTATATTTAGTCATATTTTTGAATGGCAGAACTTTTACTTTTTCTATTTGGTTCAAAATATGGGGGAGGGTACTTTGTGTGTATGTGTGTGTGTATATATATATACACACAAGATTTTGCTCTCCTTTTTCTCATATAATATCTAAGTAACTGTCTTTCTTGCTATTGTGTGTGTGTATATATATATATATAGCTACTATATATATATACAGCTACTATATATATGTGTATATATATATATAGCTACTATATATATGTGTGTGTGTGTGTGTGTATATATATATATATATATATATATATATATATACAGGGGTACATATTTATCCTTTTGCCTCAGGCTCCAACATGACATTGCACACCAGTGTTCTATCCACAATGAGAGGAGGTTTTTATATTATCATCAGAGCAGGATTCTGGGCCTGTTATGCACAATTAAAATCTATTAGTGTCCCCTCCACCTGCAAAAGAAGTCTTCCCCCAAAATGGAGTCTGCCACCTTTATAGTAATATAAATTATGCAGCTTTTCAAAAATTGTGAAAAACACATATTTACAATCTTAACCATTTCTAAGTGTAATGTGTAATGTTAAGTACATTCACATTATTGTGCAACCAATCTCCAGAATACTTTTCATCTTACAAAACTGAAACTGCCCACCAAACAACTCCCCATTCTCTCATCCCCACAACCATTCTACTTGGCACTGGCAATACCATTCTACTTTCTATCTCTATGAATTTGACTACTTTAGGATGCTCACATAAGTGGAGTCATACAGTGTTTGCCCTTTGACTGGCTTATTTAACTTAGCATAATGGCTTCAAGGTTCATCCATGTTGCAGCAAGTATCAGAATTTCTTTCCTTTTCAAGGTTGAATAATCCATTGTATATACCATATTTTGTTCATTCCTCCATCAATGGACATTTGGGTGGTTTACACCTTTTGGCAATCGTGAATAGTGCTACTAGGAACACAGGTGTACAAATATCTCTTCACTGGCAGCTTTTGAAGATCACAGAATCATATCTCACAAAATCCATTCCACCAATGATTACTTGTGAATTGGATTTCTGCTCTGCACTCTTTGTGGTAAGAGGAATTTTCTGCAAGCTTCTGGCTCTTTGGTGGCAAAAGCCATTCCTAGATTGAAGTGCAGAAGTCATTAGAATCTTTAACACTCCACCTGACTTGCAACTGTGGTTACTCTTTAATCATTTCTTGCCCACTTCCATGAAGGCTACACTTTCCTATACAACATCATATTTAATCTTTCTTTATAACAAATCTGTGACATTGATGTTATAATTCCCATTTTATAGTCAAAGAAACTGAGTCTCAGGGAAGATAAGTGACTTACCTAGTTAATAACCCATTGGGACCTAACATATAAGGATCTAGTAAGTACAAATAAGCTAGCACTGTCCACATAGACTGTGAGTTTTGCTAAATCTATAAATCTTTCTATTTGAGCAAAATAAATGTAAGAAGTTTTCAGAATTCATAACTCTACTTACCAATTTCCAAAAGGGGCAGTTTCCAAATTATTTTATATAGAAGGAGATGCTACAGCCTTCCTTAGGCACTCAATCTAGTGACCTATGACTAACATACCTCTGGGAGGAAAAAATCATCTTAATACAGATTAGTTTAATAAGACAATAAGACAGCCTGATACAGAAATTAAAACTAGGGTATGGAGGTTAAAGTTTGGCATATTGGCTTCTGCACTGACAGACATTTTACTTTCATGCTATTCTGATGGTCCTTGCCTAATGACCACAGAGCGTGTGTGTGTGTGTGTGTGTGTGTGTGTGTGTGTGTGTGTGTATGTATGTATGTATGTGTCTGTCTGTCTATCAGTGCTATCTAACAGTTTTCTGCAATGATGGAAATACTTTTTGATTGTCCAATGAAGTAGCCACTAGTCACATGTGGCAACTGAGCACTTGAGTGGTGACTAGTATAAAAGGGAAAATCAAATTTTTAATTTTATTTAATTAATTTATATTTAAACAACCACATGTAGTTATAACAACAGAATATTGGACAACGTGGGGGCTATAGAATGGGTGTAACAATGTTGTATTTCAGTTCTTCTACCAGTTCTTCGGATTCGTTTTCTTGAACAGAGTCCAAGATGGAATATTTTACCATGAATTCTGGGTTGGAATAGGTAGGATTACAGTGAAACTCTAGCATTTAGTCACATGAATAAAAGCTGAATGAGGACAAAGCATTTCAAAGAAGGATCATATGTCTACAGAGAAAGATAATCTGGCCCAATAAACCAGGTAAATTGTGTGTTTTGGAACGCTCTAGTGTATTTTATTGCTAACGCCCATTTAGTGAATGGATTGATTTTCCTGTTAGAATGTAGTGGGAACATAATCTGAATGCCTTTGACTCTGAAGCCTACTGCAGCTAACAAGAACATCATTTGTATTTCATTGGCCCAGACAGATTATGATTAATGGTTGGATGAACACATTTTCAGTTGAATTTATGTAGCACAGTGCTTCCCATAATTTTTTTCCTGTCAAGGAACTATTTTATGTTAAATTACACAAATATAGTTTTATTTTTATAACATTACTTCCTTCTATCTCTGAACACCTGCACCTTCTCTCACAATGTTAACCTCTCTCTTTGTATTGCAATTTGGCTTCTGTATCTACTCTGTTCTTTTTTCCCACCTTCCCCCGCCCCCTGAGACAAAGTCTCACTCTGTGGCCCAGGCTGGAGTGCAGTGGTGCAATCTTGGCTCACTGCAGCCCCGACCTCCCAAGCTCAAGTGATCCTCCCACCTCAGCCTTTGGGTTGCTGGGACCACAGATGCACACCACCATGCCTAGCTAATTTCTTGTATTTTTAGTGGAGACAAGATTTCGCTATTTTGCCCAGGCTGGTCTTGAACTCCTGGGCTCAAGCAATTCTTCTGCCTCAGCTCCCTAAAGTGCTAGGATTGCTGGTGTGAGCCACCATACCCAGCTTGTTTCTTTTATTCTCAGAATATTCTTAATATTCTCAAGAACATTCTTGGCCTCCCTTCCCTGCCATTTATAATGTTTCCTCCCTTGGTTTCTTTATTTTCCTTCATTCACACTCTGATTGCACCATTCAGTTTGACTCAATTGTAGTCAAATTCAACTCACAGGCTTGTTAACCCTAGTTTGGTGAACATCATAAGTCTTTCAGATGCTGGTTGGAAATGCACCTCCTCAATCCCTAACACTGACATTTAAGCAGCAGAAAGAAGAGGAGCAGCCCATGGTGAAGGCAACTGGAAAGGTCAGAGACCCAAGGAGAGATAAGATGAAAGTTATCAGTGGTGCCTAATGAAGAAGAACTGTTCTGTGAGACAAGGACTGAGAATGTTCCTCATGAGGACATCATTGATGACCTTGGTGAGAACAGTCAGCAGAAGTTTGAGAAATTATTGGGAGGTGCTGAAGCTGCCACAAGTACAGACCAAGCTTCTGAGAGAGTTGGATGATGACAGAAGGAGAAAGTGAAAAAGGGCTCAGGGTAGAGAGGCTTTTGTTTAGGATGGGAGAAGCTAGAGCAAGCCAATGTCAGCTGGGGCCTCCCTGGCTCTGTGAGATGTTGGTCCATCTTTGTAAACCTGGTCCAAAGCCACAGTCCAAGATTCCTTTTATGATTTCCCTAAATTTCTGAGGCTTGCTCCCTCATGCTTCTCTTTGTGTCCCCTGCCACATCTGTACCTGTGGTTTCAGATCCATCTTGTGGCACCACAGTGCGAATCTCAGCCTTCTCGCCAGTTTCTACACAAACACTCATGTTAATGGTAATCTATTGAGTTAACAATTTAACAAGGAACTTTAAGGTAGTTTGGAGGTGCTCCTGGAGAGGGGTTATACGCCCAACCACACTGCCCTCTGCCATCCTGCTGGCTCCTCCTCCGTTTTTCCCAACTTCCTCCTCCTTTAGAGCAAGGAATTACTTTTCTTGTCTAGAACTGAGTGATCAACCCAGAGTCAAGGTCTCGCCTTCAACCTCAATGGGCTTATCCATGAATTTTTCTAAGAAATCTCCAAAAGGAATTTTCATGCCATTTGCTAAGAGAATTCGATTCTCCTCTAATATGTCCTCTTGTCATATTAGCATTCGGGGGTGGGGGCGGGGCAAACAGTTTATGTAGACACAGAAATTGATGCATGTGGTGAAATGCTGGGAGACACCTGGAGGGGAGAGGAGGGCAGCTGTTCTATTTCTTGTGATTGGTGGGACAGGAAGCAAGAATGAGTGAAAATGAAGATAAACCTGTATGGGGGCAGGATGTGTATGGGGGTGGGATGGAAGAGTGAAGATTTGAGGGTTTGTGGGCTCAGTAGTCTCTGTGGGGGCAAGATCACTTGCTGACAGGGGATGGACAGAACTGAAGGTATGAGATTCTCGCTATAGAGAGGAGTGAGGGAAGGAGAAGGGATGAGGGGAGAGATGCTGTTTTTAGATAAGGAGAAGTATTGACAAGATGAATGGAGTATTCTTCTGAAATCGGAAAGTATACCTTTGTGAAGATACCAGTTCCCACGGTTGTACTTCTCTCTAGAAGCCCCAAATCACTAAGATATAGAAGCAGAGAAGGGGGATTTCAGGATTAATCTGGGGTTGGAGCTTGCAGAGCAGGACAGTGTGAGTTCTAGTGCTTTATTCTGAAGTCCTGGTGAAAAAGGGAAAATTGAGTAGGAAGAAGCCTGCCCATTAGCACTGGGTTGACATTCAGCTCCACTCTGGACCATGTTACCTTGGTGATAATGAAAGTGGAAGGAGGGATGCTTTTCTGCCAATTTTATCTAAGCGTCTTGGGCAGTTTTAATTTAAACGTATGATACTACCTCCATTTTTTCCTGGTATGATTCCTTTCATTTAATTAGGCTCTATTGGTGGAAAGTAGTTGATCTTTGATGACGTTGTTATCTCCTGAACATTATTATATCTCCCGCTCTGGTTTACAGGTTTTTCCTGACTCTTCTCTTCTGCATTACAGCTCAGGACTGCCACCCAGTGGCCTGTTAGCATAGAGCTCTGGAAATGCTGATTTTTTTCTTTAATACAGCCACAGAATAAGACAATAAGAAAATATTTGCTTCCTTGTTGGGGAAAGTAAAATGCAGAACTTCCTATTTACCAGCCAAACAAAAGAAGAATGCATTCTCTCAGGACCTCAGGGACTGTCAGAAAATAAGAAAAGCTTTTTTGACCTTAGTAACCTTTGACATGGTTCTCTGAGACCAAGTGTGTTTAGCCAGGAATTTATACTAAACAGGGAATGGAATGAAAGCAGGATCAGGATTTTGAAGAAAAATACCTCTCAAATTGGGGAGAGTTAGGCAAAGAGATTCTGAATGTAAAGTCATTTGGGGAAGACATAGGCCCTTGGATAAAGCATACTTTTTTTGTTTTCCTATTTTACTTTCTTCCTCACCCTTTAACACATGGAAGATGGGTCCCTGTGTCCTCCAGGTCTGATAGGAGTTGTCAGACTGCCGTTGTTTGAGTTACTTTATTTATTTGGAATTTCTGGATGTGAGAAGCTATGGAAGCCAAGTTCAGATTCAGCCATTCTAATTCTCTTATAAGATATCCTCTGTGAAACAGTGGTGTACATTTCAGTTTTGTTTTTGTAAAAATTGAGTATCAAAATTTTAAAATCCTACATGTTTTATTATCAAAAGATCACTTACAGGCATAAACTCTAGTATAATTTTTAATTTTTTGAATTGTAGATTGTCTTTTTCTTTTTTATCATAGACACTCTGAAAGCTAATTGGGATGACAGAGAAGAAAAAGAGAAAAGAAAGAATCTCGAATAAGAGGCCCAGTGGCCTCACTAGAAGGATGAGAAGATAAGACTTGCTCTAGAGGAGGAAAAATGGCAGCTTCCTTGCCCACTAAGGGGAGACACAGAGACCCTTGAATGCAATGTAGAGTGTCCTTCCTTAGCCCTTATAGCGGTTCTTCAAAGTTGCAACTGTTCCTACAAATGTTATTTACAGCCTGGGACTTCATTAAGCCAGAATATTTCCCTGAACACTACTAGAGATGTGCTCTGTAATATTAGCAAGGTCTTGCTGATACCAAGGGAGGGAAAGTAGGTGAATATCTGTGCATGGCTCTGGAGGCATACCTAGGGCAGTGTGGGTGGAGTGCCAGGCTCTGTTAAGGATTCCCAGTGGGTCAGCCACAAGCATATGGAGTGATGGCTCCTGAACAAAGACTGGGCAGAAAAGTGGGCAGAAGGGAATGCCAGAAATTGGAGACAGAGATAAGATACTAAACACAAACTTTTCCACTTCCTAATTTTGTCTAAGATAAGAAGATTCTAAAAACAAACTTTTCCACTTTCTCATTTTGTCTAAGTCCAGCCCTGCTTGCATCCAATGGAAGATAAAAGATTAAAACTAGAGATTATTTTCAACAAGCATGAATTGAGGACCTACTATAATTGGTTTATTGAGCAATCTTGCTTCACTGGACAATGAAAGTAGGAAGACATTATTTTTTCCTGTCATTGCTTTTACCTGGGCTCTGCAAAATATCCTTTTCCTGACACTTAATGAAATCTTGGGGAGATTTAATAATGTCAGGATCAGTTTGGTTATTAAACATCATTTTGTTTAAAACTCCAATCATATCCTATTCAAGTTTCAAATATTACCTTACCTCACTCCTGCTCCAGGTACTAGGTCACAAAGAAAGTCTTTAAAGTCAAAATGTTTAAGAATCTAAGTTATATGAACCATATTATCTGGCTATATTGTAATAATCATATAAGAAATAAGAGACTTAACTTACCTATACTGTTATAGGTTAAAAAAAATTGTGAGTCATTTACATTAACAGTGAAGAAGGGAAACATTGATATTTTCTTTTCATAAAAACACCACACTACTTCTTTTAGCATCTGAGATAGAAACAGAAGCTAATAAATAGGGAAAGAGTTTTTGATTTTTAACTTTGTATTTGATATACTAAAATAGCAGCCCATAAGTTCAAACCCCATGTGTTTCATTTTTATTCTGATATAATAATTTGAATAGAGAAAATTCTTAAAGTATCTTAAATGCTCATTTTTCCCTCAAATATCTCATATAACATGGTGCTCAGAATAAGGTGAAATGCAATATGTTGCTGTTTGTAGCAGCACGGTTTCTATTTTAATGGCTGATGATTTAAAATTTTATTTTAAAATTTATATATGCATATATCTATATTAAAATATAAGATTATTTTATATTTTATTTTAAAATCATCTTCTAAGATCAAAAACAATTTGGTTTGAAATGACAGTACAAGGAATGTGCATCAGTGCCTCCATGTCAACCTGCTGACACTGAACGTTCAGTTTTATTCTGCAACCTTCTGCAAGCTAATTTATACAGCATCCAAAGCTAAGGCGAAAATCAGGCCTGGAGTTAGAACTCACTGGATGTCAATCTGGTTTCTGATGGATAACAGAGGCTGAGGACATAAAATAGTCCGAGTGTTATTTATGCTATTCAGCTAGATATGTTTCATTGAAAGCAACTTGTTTTAAAATGTCTATGAGCTTGGAGTTGTATTTATATTGCATCAGATCCACAAAGGTGTGCAGTTTCTGGCTGGCACTGATCTGTTGACATGTCCTTGGCATAACACACTTGAAAAGTTACAACAGACTGCTTTTTTCTCCATGTTGTTGGTTTTCAGAAACTTATAAATAACTGACCAAATCTTCTAAATTAGAAGTAGTTGGATACTAGCAATGGTTCAAAACTTCCTACAGGGAAGTCCAACTGAGTATACTTGGAATGTTGTTGTGACACAGCCTGAATACAGGCACTAAGTTTCTGTATATGAGGCCTAGCATTAAACTCAGATTTGTAGGGAAAGTCTGATTCATGGCATGGAAATTGGAAAACACCTTATACTGTTGTAGGTCTTGCTGGGAATATCTGCAAGGCATGGCCTGATTAGAACTCCAATCTGTAAGCTGCCATTTACTTGCTATGCCTCATTTTATGACCCAGTTGCTGCTACTTCATCTCATGAATTTGTTGGTGCTAAAGCTATTGGGGTGGTTATAACTACCCTGTAGCTTGAGTTGAGAACCAAGGAATGTTACTGCTTATGACCTGAATACACGACGGTAGACTTGTAAAATAATCTTGGATATAAGTTAGGATTTTATCTGTTATGCCTAGTAGATAAAATCCTTACCAGAAAGTCAGATCTGAAGTTCCTCATTCTGCTGATTGTATTTGATATCTTCAAAATCAATGTTTAAGTTTTTCCTAGTCTTGTATTAGGTCATTATTATTATTATGTGGAAGGAAACTTGCAGGATCTCCACAAAGTGTCAGGTTCATTTGCTGAGATGGATCAATAGATTCATGTTTGAAGACATTGCCTTTTTGCATTTGGCACAATATTATCTTGCTGATTACTGGCTTCACTCATAGATGCATTTAAAAAGCTCTTTCAAAGGGTGCAGTATTTGAAACAGGATAAAACGCCCAGACTCATTTTGTTGCATCATAGCCCTCAGAAGGGAAGTAGGATTAATGGAATCCTTATTTTGAGCTAATTTGGTAGCAGAGTATTTTCCAGTAGTGCTACTATTAGTCCTCATTAGTAAGAGTTCCATCATGACAGGGAAAGGGCTGATTATCTCATCCATCACGGCTTCTCCAGCAGTAAACATAATAAAAGATAATTTCTATTTTATTTTTATAAATGCTCTGTTCCTTCTTCATTTCAGAGATGTCTTGAGTTGCACTGATACAATCTAGCCTGCCATTTTAAAAACAAAGGTTGTGTTTAACTGAACCCAGGTCCATTGCTTTTTTTTTCTTTTTTTGGTAGAAAGCCTGTATATGTTCAGGCCTGTTTCTTCAGGCTTACTCATCTGAACACAGTTTTTGACTCAACAAAGTGTATTAGCAGCCAGATCCCCCATGCACACAATTTTGCTTCAGCATATCCCAGAACAACTTTTCTTTTTGGCATCCCAAACTGTAGGTGTAAAATCTAGTTTGTGTTTAGTTTTAGAGTTGTTTTTTGTTTGTTTGTTTTTTGTTTGTTTGTTTTTTGTTTGTTTTTTGTTTGTTTTTTGTTTGTTTGTTTTTGGTGTAGGTTTCAATATGAATGGAGGTTTAGGTATGGCTGGATCAACTACTGTACAAAAGCCAAGGGAAGTGGAAGATTCATCTTTGCCTTTCTTGTCTGTCCATTAGGATACTTTAACCACTCTTGGGAATTTATGGCCAGGAAGTCTATTCAGCAGACTTCCTAATTGGCAGAGGAAGCACATTTCCATAAAAGAAGAGTTTCTGGAGGAAGCTAGCAGCTCCATTAGTTCTGTTGGAAGACAGTGCACTTGAAAGGTGTTTTTTGTTTTCTTGTTTGTTTGAGACGGAGTTTTGCTCTTGTTGCCCAGGCTACAGTGCAATGGCACAATCTCTGCTCACTGCAACCTCCACCTCCCGGGTTCAAGCGATTCTCCTGCCTTAGCCTCCTGAGTAGCTGGGATTACCTGGGCCATGCCTAGTGTGGCCGAAGCCGAGTTCTGACTTTGGCGCGGTTCAGTTCATACATCTCTGATGTTGACATCAGAAGCAGAAACGCCGGAGAATATTGTATAGTAGAAACACAAAAGATTTATAGGGATAACTAACACCAAGCCATTCGGAGCCTGATATGTGAAGTTTCCTTCCGTGTTCAGGCTTTCTGAGTTTTGCTCTATGGTATTCTGGCCTCTATTTCTGTTAGCTGGGAAGGATTTTAATGTAACGTTAAGAAAACTCTTTTCTCAGGTGTGTGATACTGAGCCTATAAACTGTTTGTGCAGCTTATTAATAAAATCTTGTGGAAAAGGTGTCATGCTATCCAAACAGGCAAATTCTGTAATAGGAGAGTCTCTGACGCCTGAAATATTATAGTTTGCTTTGACTCCCTCAGACTGGTTTGGTGTGATATTTTCTGCAACTGGCATGTACACGCCTGCACCTGGGGCGGTGGGGTCCCTGCGGGCTGCAGGCTCCGGGTTGCCGCGGAGACGCGTCTGCTTTCCCTCGGTCTTCGCGGGGCGGGTGGGGGGAGGCCAGGGTGCCTGGAGGCCTGAACACATCCAACAGCTCCAGCAGGCTGAGGGCGAGCCCAAGCTGGGGCTGAGGACAGTAGAGCTGAACGAAGACGCACCTGAGACGGTCTACACCAGCGGTGTCGCTGCCCGAAAGTGAGAGAAGGCTGATACTGCTAGCTGGAATCCAGGCCTGGGTGCTGCATGGTGGCGCCCCTCCCCGTGACCACCGCTGCGTTTTCTCGGGGTGAGAAAGGCGCCCCCACCATGCCCCTGCCCCTGGACTTCTGGCCTAAGAAGCTCCAGCGTCCGCTACCTCCCTGGGAGGGAGTGGGGTGGGGGTGGTGGGGAGCAGGACATGTTCTGGATTCTCAGGCCGCCCCCTGCATGTTCCATTGACTTTTAGTATGGGACATGGAGATATTAAGCGGCATCTCAGAGAATCTCCTGGGTTTAGACACAGACTTCCCTAGCCCTGTTGTTTAGTAGCAATCTAATTTCCCTTTTGTAATCAGGATCTATGGCTGCAGCAATTGAGTACTGTTCTTTGTTTCAGTGGCAGGAGAAGCCCCAAAAGGCCAGGTGCTTGTTTCAGCTGCCAATTCAAGGGCTCCATTGTTGTTGGCACTAAGACACACAGCCAGCAGGGCTCAGAGTTGGGACGGGAAGCAAAAGTCCTGCAATTGAGTTGTTAGCTATGGAATAATAAGGGGAATCACCTCACAACCATTCCTTGATCCTGGGCTGGTGGAAGAAACAGTACCCATGTATCAATCCCTCTCTCCCTGTCTCCCTCTCTCCCTCTGGCATTCTGTAAGATAGAATCTATCCTTTTAGGGTGTTGTCCCCTAATTGGTACCATCTGTAGCTGAGTTTTTGGTAAGCCTCTTACCAGCTTGTTACCATGACCCACATGTTTCGTGGTCATGGGTTACCTGGTAAGGCCAGTGAATTTCTAGGGAATCAGTCCATCAGTTTTGTGAGTGCAGATGGTGCTGGCTAGTACATATTCTGGCAGGGAGAGCTAATCCATATTCAGAATAGTGTCTATTCCAAGGAGGACAAATCAGTTCTCCTTCTATGATGTAAGGGGCCTGATGTAATCAATCTGTCACCAGGTGGTTGGCTGATGTTCCCGGGGGAATGGTGCTATATTGGAGACTCAGCTTTGGTCTCTGCTGTTGGAAGATCCCACATCTGGTAATGTTGGTAGCAGGCCTCAGAGAGGGGAACTCACATTATTGATCCCTGCCAGTATGGCCACTTTGCATTTGGGAAAGAGGCTGACTGAAGGAATGTGATTTTTGTTTTTTCTTTGAGACAGAGTTTCACTCTTGCTGCCCAGGCTGGAGTGCAATGGAATGATCTCGGCTCACTGCAACCTCTGCCTACTGGGTTCAAGCAATTCTCCTGCCTCAGCCTCCCGAGTAGCTGGGATTACAGACGTGTGCCACCATACCCGACTAATTTTTGTATTTTGAGTAGAGACAGGGTTTCACCATGTTGGCCAGGCTGGTCTTGAGCTCCTGACCTCAGGTGATCCGCCCACCTCAGCCTCCCAAAGTGCTGGGATTATAGGCGTAAGCCACCATGCCCAGCCAGGAATGTGATTTTTATCTACCTGTAGGGGTTGCCCTTTAGTGAGCACGCACATGAGGACGCAGATATCCACATCATCCATATACCTCTTTGGAGGCATTCCTATTAAAGCCAAAAATAAGACAAACACACCTGCTATCCCCATGTCAGTCAACATTGTAGAGAGAATTTGGTTAATGTAGTGAGACCTGAAAAAGAAATAGACCTGAAAAACCAGTGTCTACTATAGACACTGGTTGCTTGAGCTCATAGGACTTGCTCAGAAGCCTTATGAAATGTATCTCAGAACTGTCTGCATAGGGGAATAAAGGGGAAAGCACTTTTCCACTTGCTCCTATTCCCCATCTGTCAAGGATTTCCTCATCAAGCATTAACTCTCCCTCCCCTACCCCACTTCTGGGTTGTCTCTGAGTGCTGCTGAGCAAATTTCCAGGACAGGAACAATTTCCAGGACACAGTGAGGTTACCATCAGGTTGCACCTGGGTGGCAAAGAGGTCAGAAGTGGTGAGCAAGACATATCCAATATCAAGTGTATAATAATAAGGAAGAGAATAAACTAATTTACATAAACATGATTATTAGAAAATCCAAAGAATATTATAAACAGAATTAATAAGAGGCCTCAACAGCATTTCTAGATTGACCAATGTACAAAAATCCATAGTGGTTTTGTATATTGATTAGAAAAGGCAATCAAAGTCTAGGTGCGGTCACTCACGCCTGTAATCCCAGCACTTTGGGAGACTGAGGTGGGCGATCACTTGAGGCCAGGAGTTCAAGACCATCCTGGTCAACATGATGAAACCCCGTCTCTACTAAAAAAGCAAAAAATTACCCGGGCAGGGTGCAGGCCTTGCAGGCCTGTAATCCCAGCTACTCGGGAGGCTGAGGCACAAGAATGAGCCTGAGGGGAAGGCTGCAGTGAGCTGTGATTGCGCCACTACACTCCAGTCTGGGCAACAGAGGGAGACTCTGTCTCCAAAACAAAGCAAGAAAAAACAAACAAGACACAAACCTTAAAACTCCCCAAACTCCTATTCCTGAGGCAAATAGGCAAGATACTAAAATATGATAAAACACAATGGAGGTTCAGGGATGTTCGTTGCATTATATTCTTTTTTCTTTTTTCTTTTTGAGACGGAGTCTCACTCTGTCGCCCAGGCTGGAGGGCAGTGGTGTGGTCTCGGCTGGCTGCAAGTTCCGCCTCCCAGGTTCCGGCCAGTCTCCTGCCTCAGCCTCCCTAGTAGCTGGCGCCCGCCACCACGCTTGGCTAATTTTTTGTATTTTTTTAGTAGAGACAGGGTTTCACCATGTTAGCCAGGATGGTCTCGATCTCCTGACGTCGTGATCCGCCCATCTCGGACTCCCAAAGTGCTGGGATTACAGGCGTAAGCCACGCGCCTGGCCTCGTTGCATTATTTTCTACATTCATCTTTATGTACAAAAAAACTTAAGTCCGGTTAAGGCTGATTGGTTTAATCTGAATTCTGACTTTATTTCTCTGTGAGAATTTGAGCTTTGTTCTCCCTTGTGTGCGATCTTTATTCTCTAGTCTGTTTCTGTGGTCACAAGATGGCTGCCAGTAACATATGGGGCTTCATGCATCCTTGTTCACATCCAGAGACAGACCTCTCAGAGCTATTGTGAAAATTTTTTGAGCTTCTCAGAGTATCTTGGGTCAGGTGCGCACTTCTACATTAATCCTGGGGGCTGGGGGAATTCCATGCCCTGACTAGCTTGGGCAGGACTGTTAAATTAATCAATATGGCAAGGGGGATGGGACTACCCTGATTGGCTGAGGAGGTTGTCAGTCCCATTAAAACCACATAGCTACTACACAATGGTGACAGACGGAAAGAGTATTGGGAGGGTCGGGTGCGGTGGCTCAGGCCTGAAATCCCAACTCTTTGGGAGGCCAAGAGGGTGGACAGTTTGAGCCCAGGAGCTCAAGACCAGCTTGGGCAACATGGTGAAACCCCAACTCCATTAAAAAATACAAAAGTTAGCCGGGTGTGGTGGTACACACCAGTAGTCCCAGCTACTCGGGAGGCTGAGGTGGGAGGATCGCTTGAGCCTGCGAGGGGGAGGTTGCAGTGAGCTGAGATCGCACCAGTGCACTCCAACCTGGGTGACAGAGCGAGACTCAGAGGGTCTCAAAAAAAAAAAAAAAGGTATTAGGAGACAATGACTATGTATGTAGGTATAGTTTTTCTTGTTTACATATGAATTTGAGACCATGTTATATGTATGGCTAAAATATATTTAGAATTTTTTGTTTAGAGCAGGATTATTTGTATCAATAATGGTTTCTAAAAACCTGGATTCAACCGAAATAGTTAACTAAAAGGGAACAAAAATGTGGGCTATTACGCAGGTATTAATAATGACAAATTGTAGACTTAGCTTTTTCAAAGCTTGCCAATGACTTGGCAGTGAAGTAAATAATAAAAAGTCATGTTGATGTGATTTTTCTGTCCAGTAACCTCAGATAATAATTTAAAGCCATCTTTAATATGGCTTCCTGATGAAAAAGTGAATGCTTTGGGCAAGGAAAACAGTATTCAGTGATTCAGTGGGTGCTTTATTAGATGTAGTCACAACTCCATTATTCCCTTTCATGGTTCTCATGTTTTCAACATCATGAATGTTTCAGAACTTTTTTTGTATTCTGATTATGTCATTTTTTTATTTGTCCTCTTGGTCCTATAATTCCCCCCTGCATCAGAACATTAGAATCTACCTACTCTACTAGGAAGTAGTCTCAACAAGTTGAAAACATGAGTGGAAAAAAGTCATGTGCCAATGAAAGTGGGGAAGGAGTTAGTTTGTTAATTTCCAAGGTACTAATTTAAAAAAAAGTTGTAAAATACTTATAAATGTTATTTTAACCCTTTTTGAGTGTGAAATTTGGTAGAATTAACTATATTTACATTGTTGTGCAACCATCACTACACGCCATCTCCAAAACATTTTTATTATCCCAAACTGAAACTCCCTGTTCTCCCACCCTGGTAACCACTATTATATTTTCTTTCTCTACCAATTTGATTCTTCTAGATACCTCATTTAAGTGGGACCATATAATATTTACTCTTTTGTCTAGCTTATTTCATTTAGTATAAAGTTTTCAAGATTTAACCATGTTGTAGCTCATAATTATTGATAGGTAAGAACTTACTTTTACCTTTTTTAAATTTATTTTCTGTACATCATAGCTTTGTTTCCCATTCCTTCTGTTACTACCTTTCTTTGTCTTTATTTTTTCTGAGCTGACTCATTTTGATTACCTTTTCATTTCATTTGTGTGTTTTCTATAGATAATTTCTTTGTGATCACTATGGGGATTACATGTAATATCCTAAAGTTATAATGATCTACTTTGAATTGATAATTTAACTTCAGTCATATACAAAAACTATATTCCTATACAATTTCATCCCACCTTTATGTTACTGATATCACAAATTACATCTTTATACATTGTATACCCATTAATATAGATTTATAATTAATTTTTATGCATTTGGCTTTTAAATCCTGTAGAGAATAAAAAGTGGTGTTACAAACCAAAATTACAATAAGACTGATTTTTTTCAAACCCTTGGTCAGTTTGAAAAATTTTAAATTTTATTTTATTTTACTTTAAGTTCTGGGATACATGTGCAGAACATGCAGGTTGGCTACATAGGTATGCATGTGCCATGGTGGTTTGCTGCATCTATCAACCCATCATCTAGGTTTTAAGTCCCACATGCATTAGGTATTTGTCCTAATACTTTCACTCCCCTTGCACCCCACCCCCCAACAGGCCTTGGTGTGTGATGTTCCCCTCCCTTCCTCCATGTGTTCTCACTTTTCAACTCCCACTTATGAGTGAGAACATGCTGTGTTTAGTTTTCTGTTCCTGTGTTACTTTGCCGAGAATGATGGTTTCCAGCTTCATCCATGTCCCTGCAAAGGACATGAATTCATTCTTTTTTATGGCTGTGTAGTATTCCACGGTGTATATGTGCCACATTTTCTTAATCCAGTCTATCACTGATGGGCATTTGGGTTGGTTCTAAGTCTTTGCTATTGTAAATAGTGCTGCAATAAACATACATGTACATGTGTCTTTATAGTAGAATGATTTGTAAACCTTTGTGTATATACCTGGTAACAGGATTGCTGGGTCAAATGGTATTTCTGATTCTAGATCCTTGAGGAATCACCACACTGTCTTCCACAATGGTTGAACTAATTTATACTCCCACCAACAGTGTAAAAACATTCCTATTTCTCCACAGCCTCGCCAGCATCTGTTGTTTCCTGAATTTTAAATGATCGTCATTCTAACTGGTGTGAGATGGTATCTCATTGTGGTTTTGATTTGCATTTCTCTAATGACCAGTGATGATGAGCTTTTTAAAAATATGTTTGTTGGCTGCATAAATGTCTTCTTTTGAAAAGCGTCTGTTCACATCCTCCATCCACTTTTTGATGGGATTGTTTGTTTTTTTCTTGTTAAGTTCCTTGTTTAGACATTTGTCAAATGGGTAGATTGCAAATTTCTCTCCTATTCTGTAGGTTGCCTGTTCACTCTGATGATAGTTTCTTTTGCTGAGAAGAAGCTCCTTAGTTTAATTAGATCCCATTTGTCAATTTTGGCTTTTGTCACAGTTGCCTTTGGCATTTGAGTCAGGAAGTCTTTGCCCATGCCTATGTCCTGAAGGGTATTGCCTAGGTTTTCTTCTATTGTTTTTATGGTTTTGGGTTTTACATGTAAATCTTTAATCCATCTTGAGTTAGTTTTCATATAAGGTGTAAGGAAGGGGTCCAGTTTGTGTTTTCTGCATATGGCTAGCCAGTTTTCCCAGCACTGTTTATTAAATAGGGACTCCTTTCCCCACTGCTTGTTTTTGTCAGGTTTGTCAAAGATCAGATGGTTGTAGTTGTGTGGTGTTATTTCTGAGGTCTCTGTTCTGTTCCATTGGTCTATATATATGTTTTGATACCAGTACCATGCTGTTTTGGTTACTGTAGTCTTGTAGTATAGTTTGAAGTCAGGTAGTGTGATGCCTCCAGCTTTGTTCTTTTTGCTTAGGATTGTCTTGGCTATATGGGCTCTTTTGGTTCCATATGAAATTGAATGTAGTTTTTTCTAATTCTGCAAAGGAAGTCAATGGTAGCTTGATGCGAATAGCATTGAATCTATAAATTACTTTGGGCTGTATGGCCATTGTCACAATATTGATTCTTCTTATCCATGAGCATGGAATGTTTTTCCATTTGTTTGTTTACTCTCTTATTTCCTTGAGCAGTGGTTTGTGGTTCTCCTTGAAGAGGTCCTTCATGTCCCTTGTAAGTTATATTCTTAGGTACTTTATTCTCTTTGTAGCAATTGTGAATGGGAGTTCACTCATGATTTGGCTCTCTGCTGGTCTGTTATTGGTGTATGCTTGTGATTTCTGCACATTAACTTTGTATCCTGAGACTTTGTTGA